>NC_000010.11:34269953-34574235 GCF_000001405.40 Homo sapiens
GCATATAGAAACATTCATCAAAATATGTTGTAAAATATATTTGATTTCTTGCAGCTATAGAAGATCAGTGGTATAAATGACAGGTCATACACATTCTAGATTGTTAAGTAATGCTATGGATGCTCAAAAAGAATAATTTGAGATGCCCTTTGTTCATGTCTACAAGATTGCAGTCATAATTTAAATCTTTTTTTTTTTTTTTTTTGAGACAGAGTCTCACTCTGTCCCCCAGGCTGGAGGGCAGTGGCATGAGATCTTGGCTCACTGCAACCTCCGCCTCCCAGGTTCAAGTGATTCTTGTGCCCTAGCCTGCCAAGTAGCAGGGATTACACGTGTGCACCACCACGCCTGGCTAATTTTTGTATTTTCAGTAGAGATGGGGTTTCACCATGTTGGCCAGACTGGTCTCAGACTCCTGAGCTCCAGTGATCCTCCTGCCTCAGCCTCCCAAAGTGCTGGGATTACAAGTGTGAGCCACCGTGCCTGGCCATAATTTAAATCTTAAGTTTAAACTTTCACTTATTAACTAGCTTTAAAAACTCGCAAGGAACAGATCATTTCTGGCATCTACTTGGATATTACTCATGAATTTGTTTAAGGCAAGAAATAATTTTTTTAACGTTACATACACTTTATATATGAAAATATTTATATGTAATATATACCTATCTTACTCATTATTAATACACCATAAACATTCAACCTACTATGAAGCTTAAACACGAATCCACACCATAACTCTTCATTAGTGACAAAAGAGGATCTCAGCTTAATGACATCGACTCTGTCATTTCATGGGATGCATACAGAAATGGAGAATCCTTAAATTAAGGACTAGAAGGCATGTATCCAATCAAATTGTGAAGTAAAACTTGCCTACATTACAACTAAGAAACAAACCTTAAATGCTCACCTTTACTGAAGTTACGTTTAGTTTACTATGATTTTATTAAACTATTTGGTACAATGTCCTCTTCAACTTATAATATATTGATATAATTTATGTCCTAAGTCAATCTTAGTTACCTGGAAAAAATTTTAAAACCCTCAATAAAATTTTAATGGAAAAAATATCTCCTTTATATACTTACAAATTTAAGTACACACTTAAATGCAGTAAAATCTTACTTCTATAAAGCAACACTTTAGACTGAATATAATCTTTTATTGCAGTTATTCTTTTCATGTTTGAAGTAGACCTCTGCTAGCAAAAACAATACATAAACATATATTCAAAAGAATTCAGAAAAGATACCAAAATCAGATAAAGACAGCAGCAAAGAAAAGGAAGAAAGAAAAGAAAGCTATATAGGCCAATATTCCTCATGAATATGAAAGCAAAAAACCCTTAATGAAATATTAGTAAATGAAATTCAGCAATATATAAAAGAAATTATACACCGTGACCAAATGGTGTTTACTGCAAAAATTCAAGCCTGGTTCAATATTCAAAAATCAATTACTACAATCCATCATATTAACAGATCAAAGAAGAAAAGTTACATGATTGTATCAATTGATGCAGAAGAAGCATTTGATAAAATTCAACACCCATCATGTCAGAAAACCTTCAGAAAACTAGAAATAAAGTGAAACTTCCTAAAGTTAAGAGCATCTACCAAAAACCGACAGGTTCCCTCATGCATAATGGAGAAAGACTGAATGCTTTCCCTATGATAAAGTAAGGATGTGTGCTCCTACCACTGTAATTCCACATAGTGTTGGAAGTTCTAGGCAATGCAATAAGCCTAGAAAAGGAAATAAAAGTACACAGATGGAAAAGGAAGAAATAAAATGCTTCTTACTTGCAAATGACATGATGATCTACAAAGAAAATTCCAAAGAATCTACAAAAATCTCCCAGAACTAAAAAGCAAGTTCAACAAAGTCAGAGGATATAAGATCAACATATAAAAATCCATTGTATTCTCCATATGCTGGCAATGAACACGTAGTCACTGAAATTAAAAATGCAATGCTATTTATAATCCCTAACGAAACAAAACACACAGATACACATCTATAAGCCAAACTTTCGTTTATGTAGACCTGTGTAAGATAGATACGTTGAAAACTACACAATGCTGCAGCAAAAACAATTCAATGTAATAAAATAGTTTTTTCAACCAATGGTGCAGGAGCCATGAGATAACCATAGGCAAAAAGAAAAGGAAAAATAAATTTCATACCTTACTAAAAAATTAACTCAAAATGGGTCACAGGTTTAAATGTAAATGTAAAAGTATAAAACTTAAGAAAAAATGTAAGGGATTCTTTAGGAACTAGTGCGTGGAGAAGGGTTTTTAGGACTAATACCAAAACCATTATCCATAAAACTTTAAAAGTATATACATTGAACATCATCAAAATAAAAAACTTTTCCTCTGTGAAAAGCTCTAATTAGAAGATGAAAAAATAAGTACAGACTAGAAAAAAATATTTGCAAGGCACGTATCTGACAAAGGACTTATATCCAGGAAATATTTTTTAAAACAGTCAGCCTTCTCGGCTCATACCTGTAATCCCAGCACTTTAGGAGGCTGATGGGGGCGTGCTGCTTGAGCCCAGGAGTTCTAGACCAGCCTAGGCAACACAGTAAAACCCTGTCTCTACAAAAAATGCAAAAATTAGCTGGGCATGGTGGTGCACAGCTGTAATCCCAGCCACCCAGCTGAGGTGAGAGGATTGCCTGGGCCCTGGAGGCCAAGACTGCAGTGAACCATGACTGTGCCACTGCACTCCAGCCTATGTGACAGAGCAAGATCCTGACTCAAACAAACAAACAATCAAACAAACAAAAAAACAAACAAACCCCTGAAACCTCAACAATGAGAAAACAATCCAATTAGAAAATGGCAAAAGACATGAAAAGATGTTTCACTGAAGAGGACATATGGATGACAAGCATGTGAAAAGACGTTCGCCACCACCAGTTAATAGGGAAATGCAAATAAGACCATGATGAGCTATTACTACACACCTGACTGGTTAAAATAAAAAACAGTGACAATACCAAATGCAGCCATGAATGTAGGGAAACCGGGCTTCTCATATATTGCAGTTGGAAATTTAAAATGGTACTGTCACCCTGGAAAATAGCCTGGTAGTATCTTTAAAAATTAAACATATACTTATCATACTGTCCAGTAATTGTGCCTCCCGGTACGTATCCCAAAGTTGTGAAAACTTATGTCCAAGCAAAAACCTGTATGCAATTGTTCATTGCCAAATATTACCTTATTTGTAATATTTAAATATTGGGAACACCCAAAATAGCTCACAATAGGTGAATAGTTAAAAACAAAAAAAACAAAAAAACTGGGGTGTGTCCATATCACAGAACATTACTCAGCTGTACAAATGAACAAACTACTGATACATACAGCAACTTGAATCTGTCTTAAGGGCATCATGCAATGTGAAAAAAACCCCAGTCAATCTCACAGGTCATATATGATTTCACTTATATAGCATTCTCAAAATGACAAAAGTATGGAGTTGGTGAACAGGTTAGTGATGGCTAGGGGTTAGCTACAGAGGAAGACCTCTGTGATGAAATAGTTCTGTTTCTTTACTGTAGGAGTGGCTACACTAATGTGCACAGGTGATGACACAGAACTACACACACCCTATACCAATGCGAATTTCCTGGTTTTGATGCTGTACTACAGTTATCTAACTTAACCACTGGGGGAAACTGGATGAAGGGTACATAGGACCTCTTTGTACTATATTCATAACTTCCTATGAATCTAAAATTATTACAAACTTAAAAGTTTTTTTAAAGACAGAAAATTGTCACATAGCATTACAAGCAAACTTTGCATTTTCCTTGTTTCTTTCTTGTATCTAGTGTATCACCATCACCCCACTCTTGGTTTCCAATTTTGAATACAGGGGATCAAATCTGTCTGACTTTTCTTCTCTCCCAGCTATAAAAAGTACATAAATTCACCTAGCTCAGTGTTTCTCAACAGGACCCAATGACATTTGAGAAGGGGCTATTTGTCATCAAGCAGGACTTTTACCAGAACTGGTCACAGCCACATGTAATCCAGCAGTGTCCCCAATGGGGCAACGAAAACTGCTTCTCATGTTCCCCAAAACTCTCTAGGAGAACCTTATTTCCTGAGGTGACAACCAATGACTTTCTTAACTCAAAAGTGAATATTAGGAAGTTAGAAATTTTTATCAGGACTGTTCTAGATCCTAGTAACTCTAAGACTGTAGGTTCCACAGACAGAATACCCACAAGAGAAACAGCAACTCAAATTCTAATGTCAAATTTAGCTAAAATTCTACTAGACAGTTTTTAAATTTTTACGCCATTTATCCATTTAAGAGCAATTATGACAGTTAAGGATGCTATTATAAAAGCTGGTTACCACTAAATACTAGCTATCCATAATGGAAGGTTGACAGGAGTTAGGAGATAATTTTATTCTTTGCACCATAATGTCTTTTTGACTCTTGATTTGACCAGAAATCACTAGCAGAAAGAGGAAAATGAGTTCTTTCTTACATTCAATGGGATATTAATTTGAAACTCAATTATGATCACTTATCTGACAACCCACTATACTATGATATTTGGTCACCATTCATCAGTCACTTAATCATAGGTAATATCCAGGGTAACTAGGCATTCACATAAGTCTTGAAGTTTGGCAAACTGAAGAAGTTTGAAGGAACACAACAGACCTAAGTATAATTATATAAATATAAAGCTGAAATTTCTGAATTTGGAGAACCTCCAAAAATCAAAGAGAAGGACTCAGACTGATTTATTAATGACTAAACTCTATGATACATCTAGCTTAATTCACTAAAAGTGAAAAATCCAGCTTACTTACATCAGAAAATGCATCCCTCTTAAGAAAGAAAGCTAACAGAAAGAGAATAGGAACACACTCTTTTCAAGGGAGGCATAAACCTAAATAATCTCCCCAAACTTCTTGCACATCAGTTTCATTATATTACTGATGGGTTCTGGATTTGAATATTCTTTTGTTCCAAATGACGCAGAAAATAATATTAATTAGCAGTCAATTTCTAACAAGTCAATCTCTCAAAAGAAGTGCTCAGCAGCATGAAGTACTATTTATAAAGCCCAGATCTCAGCTGCCTTCTTTTACCCAAATTTGTACATTATGACTAATCGCCACCAGTCACTGAGCCTAATAAACGTTAAAGCCCCATCTGTAGTACCTTCCAGAAATACTGACTTTTTTCAAGGCTCCAATAATGAAGGAATTGTATTTGTATTGCTTATCTTGTCATCACCAATAATGTTGTCCCCAAAGTTCTAAAACCTGCATCACTGCTTTCCAATGTGGCAGCTTACACTGGTGGTGAAAACCTTAGAATAAAACTATAGCATACGTGTGGTCCACCAGGTAGAACTACTGCCGCAAAAGGCTAACGGATCTGGTCAGTAGCCTGAACTAATGTGCATTCTCAAGTTCATTCTAGAAATTAATGCTAACGAGGCTTGCTGTACAAATAGCACTTTAGAGTAGACTTTTGAAACTAAGCATGCACTGTGATTTTCATAAATTTTAGTGGCAATTCACAAGCAAAATTAACAAAAGACACAAATGAATTTATTATATTCTTTGATATTTGAATGTCTTGTTACAAAGTGAGAATATGAACTTTCTAACACGACCAAAAGGTTATATTTGCATGTTATGTATTTCCACTCTGTGGAGATACATATTTCAGTAAGAAAATATTTGGCTCAGGAAGAAAACATGTTTGGTGTCCTCATAAAAATAACATGACTTCTTAAGGAAACTTTGAAAAGATGGTGAGTATCTTGCAGTTGAGCCCTTAATGGATCCAGATGGCCAGGGCTATAAAAGCATACCCCCTTTACTCTTTTATTGTGACCCTGAGGTCACAAATTATCTCCAAGATGTAAGAGTCACTCATTTTTCTGAACAGTCAGATTGTTGTTCAGCATTCTCTATCCCATTTATCTCGGGCCAAACCTCAACAATGACAGAAGTAACTGATTAGTCCAAAACCCAGCAAAAGACATAAATGTCTATTGCTTTAAACATTTCAGTAAGTCCTTCCTGGTTCTAAAAAGAACTATTCTGAAGTTCAGATTATCACAGGCAGTTGTACCACCCGACATTGATGGACAACATTTATACTGTTTCCTATCCTTGAAACTTGAAAAAACAAATTCAAACAATTAAAACCTTTTATCAAGTCATTTTTAACTTAATAAAGAACTTATCATTTCAACTTGTTATGTTCAAGCATAAATACATCTTTCCTTTTTGTAAAAAAAAAAATAAAGTGTTCCATTATGATAATGAAATTGCCTTGAACCTGCATAGAAAATAATACACAAAATAATGTAATATACTAAATAAAGTAATAAGGTTAATTTCTTTCCTGCTGTCACTAAATTCATGCTAACAGTCTCTCTTCAGCTTGACATCAATTAATGATTTTAATTCCAGGCTCTTGTCACAGTGTTCACCACCTTTTCTCTAATTAAAATGGATGACGCTCGATGAAGATAAAACACACAAGACTTCTGTTTTTGTAACATTTCTATTCATTAGTATTTTTGCTTTTACAATAAATGGCTTTTAGCACTAATTGCAGTAGAATAAGATGAAAGGAACTTTTTATGATCATAAAGTCTAGTCTTTATATATCCAGAAAAGGTACCAGGTACGGGAATAACCACCGAAGTGACCAAACTCCTTAGGATGGAAAACCAGTGGTGTCCTTAAACCTCTCAGTTACATACTAAATACTTTCATTTCCAAACTCCTTGGGATGCAAAACCAGTGGTGTCCTTAAACCTCTCAGTTACATACCAAATACCTCCATTTCCAAAGCTATGATGCTGCAACACATCTCTTTTTACATGTTGTATTTTTTTAAAGACTACAAGAAATAGAAACTGTCTTTTAACGATTTTTAATTTAAAAAGTTATGTCTGCAGAAGATAGAATATACTAATATTAGTTTAACAGAAAAAATGTTTTTAATAAATTTCAGATTGCTACATATCAGATAGTTGTTGACTATCTTCAAAACAATGTTCAGGATCTTGCAATCAACTCTTTTGGGAAACATTTTACCCCCAACTTACTGCACTGCCATCCAGAAGCCTCATTCTGGGAACAACAGTTCGTGGATCTTTTTCCAACAGTATTTCTTCTCTCAAAAAGTCAGTATTACAGAAATTGATCAAATAAAACCCAAATTCATGGCGAAATGAAATTTAAGCTACAAAACAACTGGAAAGAACCGTCTGTTGAGAAAGCAGTTTTAGTCCACCATGGAAGGCTTTATTGGGCCCTCAGAGTACTTCAGCAGATGGCAGACTTCAAAAATACTGCAGCTCAACTCATCCTTCCTTTGGGTGATCCTCCCCCTGCCAGGTGAATCTAACAACTGCCCCCTAACAGTAGGTAAGCTGCCAGTTTGGTGCCTATGCTGAATTCCCAAAAGAGAGATACTATTCCACTAAATTTCTTACCCTGGTAACAGTTCCAATTTTAAGTGGGATTTTAATATCTTTGTCATATTAGGGTAAAAGTTGATTGAGAAGAAAGGACTTCCATATTCTAAATGAGCCCTGAAAAAAATTTTCTTGAGTGAAAACAACTGTTTTAAAGGTACATTTCCAATTCCAGGGAAGAATGCAAGTTGCTGAAATATATAGTGGTCCCTTAGAATAGCTGGGAGGGAAAGTTAACTTGCATCCCTCAATGCTAAAATGAGATGAAACTGGTTTTAAAATACAAAACGGTTAAAAGTTGAAAAAGAGATAAAAGAAAGCATTAACAGGGAGACTGCTAACCACTAATACAATCACAACTTGTAAAGAATCCAGGCAGTTAAAAGACTGCCCACTTTCCATAAGCCTTTGTGCTTAGGGGGAGAGAGACTGAAAGTGAGGGTAGAATTTTTCTAGTTTGCTAAATTATACATATTCTTGGGAATAAGATCTAGCTCCCAAACTATCATCTCTATGAAGCAGTCACTACTAACTCCAGCCCCACTGGTCGTTCCCCTTCCCAAAGCTCTGTAATCATCTATTTTAACAATTGATTATATTGTCTTTTCCCCCTGCCCAGAGACAGGGGTCTTACTCTGTTGCCCAGGCTGGAGTGCAGTAGTATAATCATAGCTCACTTCAGCCTTGAACTCCTGGGCTCAAGACATCCTCCCACACCAGCCTCCTGAGTGTCTGGGACTACAGGTGCATACCACCATGCCCTGCTAATTAAAAAAAATATTTTTAGGGACAGAGTCTTGCTATGTTGCCCAGGCTGGTATCGAACTCCTGGCCTCAAGTGATCCTACCACCTCAGCCTTCTGAGCAGCCTTACATCAATTTTTTAATGTTAACATGCTTAAATCTTTTTCTCTTAACAAAGGTAAGGGATCCCTGAGAGGGAAAAAACATTTTAAAATAGTAATTTTAAAAAGACTTATACTATCTGATATGGTTTGGCTGTGTTCCCACCCAAATCTCATTGTGAATTGTAGTTCCCATAATCCCCACGTGTCATGGGAGGAACCAGGTGGAGATAATTGAATCATGGGGGCGGTTTCCCCCTCCTGTTCTTGTGATAGTGACTTAGATCTCACAAAATCTGATGGTTTTATAAGGGGCATCCCCCTTTGCTGGGCTCTCATTCTTCTCTTTTCTCCCGCCACGTGAAGAAGGACGTGTTTGCTTCCCATTCTGCCATGATTGTAAGTTTCCTGAGGCCTCCTTAGCCCTGTGGAACTGAGTCAATTAGACCTCTTTACTTTATAAATTACCCAGTCTCGAGTATGTCCTTATAGCAGCATGAGAACAGACTAATATACTGTCTGATACACTTAATATATTGTGAAACAACAAAACCAGTTGTCTTATACTGACTAATAAAACACTAGAATAATATTTCCCTAACCAACAGACACAAACACATCTCAACAGATACTCACTCAAGTAATGTTCAGGCTTTCATGGATATTAAAGCACCTACAATTATTGCCAATGCAGAGAGATGCTCTTAAGCCAAATATATCTAGGACAGCTCTCATCAGAAAGCAAACTGCATTTTCCTACTTCATTTGCAGTATCTGTCAATAAAATCGGTTTCAGATATATAGTATGCCTAACGCTTAATTTTCCTCAAGTATTCATCTATATTTTTTCCTTTTTTTTTTTTTTTTTTTTTTAGAGACAAGCTCTCACTCTGTCACAAAAGCTGGAGGGCAGTGGCACAACCACAGCAGCTCACTGCAGCCTCGAACTCCTGGGCTGAAGTGATGCTCTTGCTAAAGTGTTAGGATTACAAAGTGTTAGGATTACAGGTGTGAGCCAACACACCCAATCAAGTATTTATCGAAATAGTTAAGTTCTACAAAGCAGGTTAACAGATTCTTAAAAATTCTCATTTACCTGTGCAATGAAAATTTTTTTAAAAAAACTTGAAACTTAGCCTATTGATTAGAATTGACTTTTCTAAAGGATTCACGAGGTCAAAGAAACATGAAAAATGCTGCTACAGGATAGAAAAAATGTTTCTCTTAAAAGGTTAATTTTTAAAAGACAATCTTTGCATGACAATAAGTGATCTAAATGCAAAGATTAGTGTTAGGAAAACAAACATGTATCACTTGCTGAAAAGGATCCTACCAACTGAGATGACAAAAAGTTCAAGTAATTACCCAAAGCAGGTATTACTGAGAACAGCTGGTAAAATTAGAAAGAGAGGAAACGGCATGCAGAAAATCCACATAAACTTGCAAAATGACACACCAAGAATGGGGAGTATCCCACTGAAGGACACAGATAGTTCAACGGTCTGGTATTGAAAACACAAGGCTTTGAAAGATGATTAGAACATTGAATAATGGAAAGTTTCAGATCATCTGTTTCCTAAGGAGATTTATAAATATTCCTTCTATACTGGGAGGATTTAATAAGAAATTAATTAACTTTTACATATTTCCACTAGAAGCATTCAGTATCCCTGGAAATGTTCCCAAGCACAACTTACTATGCAGATATAGATAATAATATTGTAATAGCTTTCAATGGCTGAATAACTACAAAATACAAGCCAGCTAACATTATAAACCTCATTTAATAGAATGAATAACATGAGGAGAATATTATTTGAGAGTTGGGAAATTTGGCCAGATATCATAGCTAATATTTCATGTTTCAGAACATCTTTCCTTCTTTCTGTCCCTCTTTCCCATTTGTCTGTTCACACAGACCTGACCGTGATCCAGAAAACATTTAATATGATTTTCTAAGAATGCATAAAAATGCAAAATAAATAAAAATGAAAATAGATGTCAACTTCTTAAAAGTACATAGGTGTGGAAAATGTGTACTTTATAGGAAAAAAAATGATTAGCACAGACCAGTATGTTAACAGTGTGTTAATACAGATAAATTTTTGTTTTCTGATTGTAATTTTATGGGTTTCTCCCAAATTTTTCTGTAGTTTTTAGTATTAGAATAAACTTAGAACTAGAGCTTAAAAAGGTACATTTTTTAAACAAGTGAGAAAGGTGGGAAAGAGAAAACTGAAAAAGGAGGAGCAGTGGTAAGCACGCACTTTCATAAGTCCACAAAACAGAAGCCAGAAAGTAGAGACAGGTTACAACACTGCTTTAAACTTGCTCGCAGTTCTGGAAAACAATCAACTCCGGTTTCCACAGCCAGTTAGAGGAGTAAGCTGAACACCGCTGAACCAGGAGTCAACGGTCTTTACTTGCCCTTGGTATTTCCCCAGTGACTCAGAATGTTGTGGGATGTCAGTATTCCAGGAAAAGCAAAAAGTGAGGGGTTGAGAGGATGTTTTGAGAATAAATAAGTTTGGAGAATGGTGACTCTCTGTTCCTATCTTGGTGACTCATAATGCACATGAACTTGGTAGAATTTTGAGAAATAACAGAGTAGAAAGATACGCATATACTGGTTTAAACAAGTGTTTCTCAAACATACTTGTAAACAGAACACATTCTCTGCTGCTGAACACTGGGCAATCCTGTACCACATAGTGTATATACTACCATTTAAAAATACATGGAGGTATCACTGGAGCAAAAACAACAGAAAGCCAACGTGTGATGCTTGGTCGACAGAGAAATCTATCACGGGGCTTTGTATGGGAGGCTAAGTAGACCTGAAGTTACGTAGATCACTTAATTGGAACATGTTCTGTTTTGAGTTTGGAGCCTAAACCTTTCATGTGGTGGAAATGAGCCAGTAGAGGCGCTGTCCCTAGGCATGCCTGAAACACAAGTCAGAGGCACGAAGCACTGAATTCACATTTTTGCTTAGTTTCTCAGTCTGTCTCCAATGTAGCCAACAGCATCTCTGAAAAAATAGGGTACCTAGGTTCAGTGCTCCAGAATGAGAAGTCAAAAATAGCATGTCGGAAAACCTGTTAACTTCCCCCTTGGTATCACGCCCAGACTCCCCGCTTCTCAAGAAGACCATACTCATGGAGGCTCTAGTCTGAGGCAGGGCAGGGCTAGTAGAGCAGAGCACAGATCCATACAGTGATCTTCCTAGTCCATTTCTCCCATATGGATGGCATTTACTCAAGACCCAACCTCACAGTGTTGGTAGCAAGTGACAGAAAGGGAAGGAAGTTAGCAAGAATGAAGTCAAACTTAATCTTGGACCCGGCTCAGAACAATCTAGTATATTGTCACCATCTAAATAGATCTTAACATTGAAGAAAAAACATTTAAAATTATATTCATAGCCCTTTTAGTTTTTCAATATTTATATCTTGAGCAATATTCAAGATTCCCAGATGTACACAGGCAAAAAAAGTTCTGGTTTGTGGACAATCATAACTCATGGGGGAATGTTGGGTTTTCTATTTTTATATGGAATTAGCCAAAATAATTTTTGGAATTCAAATAGCTACAGTGGTAAATAATATCCCGAGAGGTATTTCACTACTAGTCAGCAGTGAGGGAAAGGTTGTAAGGAGAATATAAGTAGTGGTTTATTTATTTTTATTGATTACTCCAGTCAAAATTTTTTCAAGGAAGCTGCAGTTTCCATTCTCAAAAAGAACACTGCCAATACCACAGACAGAACAGAAAGAACGACATATGGAAGAATGCTTGCCCTATTAAAATACAAGTGCCAAACCTACTCCACCTCCTAGTTCAGTCCGTTTCTTGCATTCACTTGCTCTATTACAAAATCCATAAGTTTAAATAAAACATACTTGCAAAAAGTTGTTATTGAAATACAAAGTCAAAGTATAATAATTTTCTTAAATTATGAGCCTAATTGACTTTTTAATGGACCATTCACTTATTCCTTGACCCTGAAAGATTTTTATTTTAGGCCTCCTGTACATTGTAAATTCATTATGATCAACCTAGTTCCCAGAAGTATTGCATCATTAGAGGTACAGAGATGGAAATTAAAAGCAAAACTGAGAAGTGAACTGTGCCTTAGGCAAATTAATAATACAAGTGAAACCATTATGTAAAAATCATTGTTTGGCTGGAAATATTTGACTAAGCATCATAAAAGTATTTTGGAAAATGTTGATAGAATTCTGCATGGAAACATAGCAGTCACCTTAAACTGCAAGGAAGAAATGTTTAGAAGATGAAAAATAGTACAGGATTAATGAAGCTATCTATCCCCTGTGGCAGGTATCAAGATATAGGGGAGGTATAATGTTTCTGTCGCTCAGATTACTCTCTAAGTAAATTACATATTTGCCTGTGGATGAATCTGAGTTCACACATTTACCTGGTATAGTCTCCTCCTTTAGGGAGAAGAAACTCTTCTAGGATAGAAGTTTATACTTCTGAGTCACTAAATGCTATGGCACACACACTAAGGAACACTATGCACCCAAACCCAAAAATAGTGAATTTACTAATAAGTTTGGGAATCCCAAAATTGATGAGGATTAGAAAGAGTCCTACAAAGCAAGGTGAAATGATTTTTTAAAAATAAAAATTGAGGAGGAACCAGCCGTCTTGCTTCATAAATTTAAAATCCATATTTTTTCCCACATACATTTTCTACCCTGAAAAGCTACAGAGACTCAGAGTAACCATTCTATTCAAGAAAAACCTCAGAGGTATTAGAAGGATGAATGAAAAAATACCCAAACACTAATCTCTTTTAAATAAAACTGTTGTAGGATACTATTTTTAGTTATTTCATTCATTAAGTATTAGAGTAAAAGCAGCCTAGCTTTAGAATTATGGTAGGAATACTGGGCTTAATCTTAAAGATGCTGGGCTACAGTCCTAGCTATGGACAGTACTTAGCATTATAACCTTCATCAAGGTACCAGAAACTCACTGAAATCCCAGATTATTCAAAGTAAAACAGGCATAGTACCTCTTAGCTGTGGCTGCTCAGAAAATGAAATGTGATGACAGAGAGAAGCTCACTGTGAACCTGTAAACTCTAATAACAAAAGTGTGAGATGGCTTTCTCACCCCCTGGAATTATAATGAGAAAAATTCTAATCACTTAGAAAAACGGTTTTCGAGTGCCTGCTTAGAGTAACTCTTTTCATTCCTTTCATTGGTCTTTAAGTTCTCAACATGGAAATGATTCAACAATAGGTAACAATCTATCCGGAAGACATGGAAAACTTAAGTGGAAAATGTCACAAAATGTGAAGATGGTAAAATAGAAGGAGAATCAAGAAATAAGTGTCAGGTTTGAAAGAAAAACAACATAATGAATAACAGCCTCCTGAATTCTTATTATATTTAAAATGTGATATAAAACTTCGGAGTTTTATTTTCAGAAGAGTATTTCTTTAAAATTATTATAATATACTAAATATCCATATATCAGGCAGGATTTTAAGTACTTTTTGTGTTATTTTAAAAAATCATAAATTCAGTATTAATGTTTATTTATTCATCTAATATGCTGTTCTATTTCCTATGCAAAAGATCTTAACTAAAGCAATTAAAATCCACTTTGATGTCACAAATACATATAAGGTTTTTTTTTTTAAATCTCTCTTTACAATATATTCACCCACAACCATCAATATTTGGGTTGATACAGGAAATATGAAGAGTAATTAAATGTAAAATCTTTACATTAAAAAAGAAGAAAGTAGAAAGAAAAAAAAAAAGAACCTCTTTCTAAGGAGGTTTAATCAAGTAACTGAAGTCTACCTCTCCTGCTCCTGCTTCATTCGTATCCTCTCCTCTTCTGATGTAAAGGATTCCTGTATTTTTATTTTACCCGTTTTCTCAATCTTGTCATCTTTTCGATGTTTGCCAAACCTGTTAATAACAAAAAATTCTAACTTGTCAATATATACAAAATGAGCTTTCTTTTGTTTGTGGTAATGACATATACCCAATGAAATGAATGTTAGCTTCTTCAAAACAGGGATCAGGTGTCTTCTGCAGTCAGTAGTTTGGGTCAGGACTAGTATTTTGAATCAGATTATTTTATTCATTTTTAATTAGAACTTCCCAGAGAAAACTCTTGAGGGAAATGATCTCAATAGCAGTTTTTCCTTTAGCAAAACAAAAACAAACAACAAGAGTTGTGGTTTATCCTTATTAAACAATTAATACATCTGTAGGACTAAGTGCTGAATACTTTAGATGCTAGAGGAAGAAAGATCTGCATTGGAGTGGGTTTTTCTTAGGACTAAAGAATGATAATCCACAATCATCTAGTTAATAATCTTTCCATAAACAACTATTCTTTATTTTCACAGCCAGGCTTATTGGAAACATTCATCATAGTTTAAAAACTGACAAAGGCCATGTTTGCAAGGTTTAAAGTACAACAGATCATTTACACTGCACTTTAATTAAATTGAAAGGTTTAAGGTATTCTCATCAAATACTCTCCTAAATGTGATAAAAAGCAATTGCTGAATGTGGCATCTATGACTTATAAATCCACATCTGATCAAAAACAAACACACGGAACAAACCCATTATTGAAAAACAGTCCACACAAGTTTCTGCAGATGGGTGCTGAGCTCTTTAAGAAAACACTAACATTATTCTCTTCTGGCATCCAAAATATCCCAGTTTGATACTCAAACTTGGTATCAATTCCTTTCCCTGCTCTGTTATTTTTCTCTATAAAAGACCATATTGCCTGGAATGCATGCACTCTATATCCATAAGCAATCTTTGTCTGTAATGCACTGGTCACCAGATGTTTCAAAAAAGAAATATTTTATAGACAGTCACACAACTAAGCATTCAGAAATAATTAAAGTATATTGAGTATTTCTTTCTGAAGAATAACATCAATCTGGCGTACTGTGACAATTTCATATCGAAAAAGAGGGTCAGGCCCAGTGGTTCACGCCTGTAATTCTAGCACTTTGGGAGGCTGAGGCTTTGGGAGGCTGAGGCAGAAGGACTGCTTGAGCTCAGGAGTTCAAGACCAGCCTGGGCAACATAGCGAGACCTCGTCTCTACTAAATACCAAAACAATCAGCCAGGTGTGGTGGTGTGCACCTGTAATCCCAGCTACTCCAGAGGCTGAGGCAGAAGGATGGCTTGAGCCTGGGAGTTCGAAGCTGTGTGAACTGTGATTGCGCCACTGTGCTCCAGCCTGGGAAAAAGAGGGAGACCTTATTTCAAAAAAAAAAAAGAAAGAAAGAAACAGAGAGGAGAAAAGGGTCCCAAAGTTGACATAAAAGAGAAAAAATTATTTCTATTAATGGCTTGGTTGATAGCATTGATTTTTTTATTAATACAAATCTGATTTCCAATACTTGTCTACATATGAATTAAAGTATATGTGGGCATATCTCATCTGTTGATTAAAGTAACACTATGTTTGAAAGGGGTCTCTAAATATGGAAAGGAAAGTATTCTTAAAATGTTAAAACAGAAAAAAGGTAAAACACCACCACCACTACTTTAAAAATTACATATATTATTATACAGTAATCAAAAACTGACTGTAAATTAACTTTATAAAGCAAATCTATCCTTAAAATTAAATTTTTGATCACTGCAGTTGCAAAAAAGAAAAATAGAAAATTCTCCAGAACTGAAATCCAGAATCTGACCACATTTCACAAGGTATAAAATACATGCTATGCATTTAAAACTAATAAATACAAAACATTAAAAATAAAAGACTTTGCACTATTTTTGTCAATATATCAATAATGCCTCAGAATTACACATAATGATGGGCTTTACAGAATGAATGAATAAATGAAAAAATATTAAAAACTGATACATCTCAGGAGAAGTCAACAACTAAAACTTCACACTCATTCATCAGACAAAAATGTACTGAGCATCTACCATGCAGTCAGGGCTTATTTGGGACACCCAGGCTATAAACAGTAAACAGAGCACATTAGGTCATTTCAACTGCCATAGAGCTTCTACTGCTTATACTCAGGTAACGAATTAGCATATAACAACATCAGACTGCACAGTGCTAAGGGGGAAAGCAAAGCAGAGTAAGGAGACCAGGACTGACGGGGAGGGTGATGGCCTCTCTCCTAAGTCGACATGTGAGCAGAGATCTGAGCTAGAGGGAGCCAGCCACATTGGCATGAGTCAGCAAGGCAGAGGAGCAGGCAAGTGCCAAGGCCCTGAGACACAGGCAGGCTGAGTGTCTTTGAGGAATGGCAAGGGCCATTCTTGCCTATTCCAGTGATAGGGCTAGAATGGGAGAGAAAAAGAGAAGGCAGCAGGAAATGAAGAAGAGCAGCATCAGGGGGCAGACCACATGGATTTTGGATTTTACTGAGATGACATGAAAAGCCACTGAAGGATTTGGAACAGAGGAGCAGCACTGGTGACATTTTAATGACCCTGGATGCATGTGAAGAACTGCAGGTGAAAAGGTGAAACCAGGGAGAACGGTCAGGAGGCTATGGTGATGAACCAGCTGGTAATGGAGGACAGTGAGAGAAGTGCTTAGTTTCTGGACATATTTTCACAGCAGCACCAATAAAATTTGCTGATGGGGAGGTCATGGACGTTAGGGAAAGAGAGTCACTGATGATTCCAGGGTTTTAGCCAAGCAACTGGAAGAAAGGAGTTACCGTCCAGCAAGATATACAGGGCCAGGGAAGGAAAAGGTTTGGAGGACTTGGGGGTGAAGATATCATAACGGCAAAAATTCAAGGGACAGCATAAGGCGGGATGGATTAATCTGAGTGTCAGCAGACAGCATTTAAAGCCAGGGCATTCACTTCATCCTGGAAGTTCTGCAACACTGAGGCATCTCCAAGTATAAGATGTACAAATCCTAACTTCCAGAAAAGTATAAGTTCAAATTTTAATACATCATTTTACTTATAATGAGGTATTCCGAAGGTAAACCATTTGAACCATTTAGTGTTTCTGTTCATAAATCTTTCAAATGATACAATGTTGCCATGTTGACTTACTGATTTTTAAGACATTGTGCTGGCTCACATTCCTACATCCCAAAAGATAGAAATACAACTCTGCACCATAATTGAGAAACACCATGCTGTGACACCGAGAACAATCTACTCTCTATCTGTACCAAAAGGTACAGTTTAGTCTTTAAGAAATAGTGTACATATGCTCCTTTAGTAATGGTGAGGAAAGATTTAGATTGGTTGATTTTGCAAGTTTTAAAACAGTGTAGATATTTTCAGCCAAAAGCTAATGTTGAGTTAATTAGCTATGTTAAAATCTTTGTAGAAAATGGTATTGGTCCTACATTGTTAAGAAGGTTTCAGTTTGCCCACATAGTCTCATATATATATGAACTCAGTCAATCAACCTTCATCTTTTTCTCTTAAGTACGTATGACATTTTTTAAAGAGTAGGTTCCTGATTCATACCTAAGGATTGCATATTTTCCCACTGTGTTTGGTATTAAAATATTAATTAGTTTCCTAGACCACCCCCTAATCACTGGAATAACTATTTTTTGTAAATGTATTACCAAACTGTTATAACGCACTTTCCTTTTTTAAGAGTATAGATTTGGCCAGGTGCAGTGGCTCATGCCTGCAATCCCAGCATTTTGGGAGGTCGCCGTGGACAGATCACTTAAGGTCAGGAGTTCAAGACCAGCCTGGTCAACATGATGAAACCCCGTCTCTACTAACAATACAAAAATTAGCTGGGTGTGGTGGTACACACCTGTAGTCTCAGCTACTCAAGGGGCTGAGGTGTAAGGACTGCTTGAGCCCAGGAGATGGAGGCTGCAGTGATCCATGATTGTGCCACTGCACTCCAGCCTGGGTGACAGAGTAAGACCTTGTCTCAAAAAAAGAATACAGATTCAAGATGAATGTATGAAAATTAAAGAAACCATATGTAAAACGTTTATAGGTCAGAATTGGACATTTCTTTTAGTAATTGCTTTAGTTAATAAATTATGTGATTTCTTTAAGGTATACTATAAAATCACAGCATATTACTTTATAATTGGGACAAAAATGGATCACTCACAGCTGTAATATTCTGACAAATGAAATCAACTGTAAATAAAAAATACACTAGCCATTCTAAAATGTAAAAAAGAAAAAAAAGTATCTATACCCATATTCACCCTAATAGCCAATATTACTGTACTTCCTAATTTATAGTTGCTTAATTCCTGAAAAGGGGAGGGAGTCATTGAAAAATTTCACCTATACATATACTCGCAAAGACAGTTTCACAGCTGAAATTGGCAATCAACCTATGAAGACAATCACTTAATAGCAAAATGCTCAAAAACCTGGAAGATATCAATTATTTGTATGTTATCTTTTAAAAGCCATGGATGAATGTCAGATGAGCCACCTTCCAAGAAACAGCATAGCTGAAGAAATACTGTGTTAATAGTTGCTCCAGGACCAAACCCATTCTCAGCACAGAATCAGAGTTTTGCAATCTGCTCTGACTCACACAAACGTTCAAAGAGAAAACTTTACTACCCAGCAGGTGTCAGGCTGAAAGGTAAAGTGGCCACCTACACTGGTACCTCAGGAAGAATTTGCTAGTCATGCCTTAAGTCATATTAAAATAGAAGAACGACCTTCTTTTTTGGAGACAGGGTCTCACTCTGTCACCCGGGCTGGAGTGCAGTGGTGCAATCCAATCTCAGCTCACTGCAACCTCCTGGGCTCATGCCTTCTTCCCACCTCAGCCTCCTGAGTAGCTGGGACTACAGGTGCATGGTACCTACCATGCTCAGCTAATTTTTGTATTTTTGTTGGTAGAGATGCGGTTTCCCATATTGTCCCTGCGGGTCTTTTTTTGAGGGGAGGGTGTTGGGGGACATAGGCTTGCTCTGTTGCCCAGGCTAGAGTGCAGTGGCGCAATCTCAGCTCACTGCAACCTCCGCCTCCCAGGTTCAAGTGATTCTCCTGCCTCAGCCTCCCAAGGAGCTAGGACTACAGTCGTGCGCCACCACACCTGGCTAATTTTTGCATTTTCAGTAGAGGCGGGGTTTCGCCATGTTGGCCAGGCTGGTCTCAAACTCCTGGCCTCAAGGGATCCACCCGCACCAGATTCCCAAAGTGCTGGGACTACAGGCGTGAGCCACTGCATCTGGCCAGATCTTAATAATAATAATAATAATAATAAGTAGAGGGATAAAAAGAAAATACCTTTAAAATGTTGAGATAAATGAAAAATTGCTTAGTTGCTTAGAGGTAGTGCTGCATTAGGAGTGAAGGTACACTTTTAAAAATGCCACACTCCACCAGAAACTCCTTCACAGAAAGATGCAGTGAGCTAATCCTGTCTTATTCAGAGCAGAATTGATTCTAACATGTCTTAAATGTATGGCTTTCTTCATAAAGGACACAGCAATGTCTTCATTCAGCTAACGTAATCTCAAACTAATCTGCTAAATGGGTTTTACAATAATGCGTTACAAATGAGATCACTGCTGTCTGCCAGATCAGCCATATGTACCATTACAGTCAACAATGATGGACAAAACCTGAACTGGAGGATGAATGGGGATAGCAAAAAGCAAACAAAATGACAACAAAGGATGACAACAAATTCTACTGTTTTTATAATGAAATAAGTGTCATTGAAAAGTAACTACTGGCAAGTTTCCTTGCTATTAAAACCATCATTTGGGTTTTCAGCAAAGCAACATAATTCTCTCTGCAGTATGAATACTATTGAAATATTTTACTATTTAAATAGTAATATTTCTGCTGCTACCAAAATTAGAGGTCTTTAGAAAAAAATTACACGGAATAATAATGCATAGCATCCTGCGATAAATAAAAATACAATTAATTTTGTAATGAATGTGTTTTTCCTAATACCATACTTTGAAACATGATACAGTGTTTTTAAAAAAGTCTTAAAAATCTGCTGCCATATTTAAAAATAGATGAACAGAATATCCGGAACCAATTATCTTGTAAGGTTTAGCAATAGTCTTTAAAATAAGTTTTTCTTCAAAACACCCCACTGAAATGTCACCTAGAAATCTGTTATTTCTCACTGCTAATTACCTAGGTCTTCATGTCTAAGAAGTCTTTGCTACACCGCATGTCTATTTACCCAAAGAAATTTGTAGGTTATGTGATACTGCTTGGCTGGGGAAGAGAATTTAAAATGAATCAAATATGAGTTCAATGTCAGCTACCAGAAGCCACATATCCTCTGCAAATGCCCAACTCCTGCCCTGGCGTGGTCAATATAGTCACTAGTTCAGTATTCTGCCTTGTGTCTGACCCTCATTTCTACATATTTGCACTATCACATGATCCATTCTGTCCCTTTCTTCAGGAATTCATTTTTTCTTTCTGGAACTTTCCTGATGTTTTTGAAGACCATGTGTTTGTACAGCCATTGCATAACCTGTCTTTGACCATGGCCAGCTGTGGTAATGCTGTCATTTGTCCTAAAGATCCTTGAGAGATACCAGCTGCCCAATGAGCTGGCCTCAAGATCCTGTACAGCAAAAGCACATACCCTGTCCTGTGTCATTCCTGTGTCTCAATCCAGTTCTCTGCATAGTCCAGAGCACATTATTCACTCAAATCAAAACAAACCCATGAACTTTTCATATCATTCCTCTATTCCTCTGAGTCATACATCACCTAAATGGTTTTTGATCCAAGTTTCTCTGGGAAACTTTTAATTGATTCTTGTGCTTTTTCCACATTCTTGGTGCAGAACTAACTTCCCTCAACCAATTACCCTGGTCTCTAACACAATAACAAACTTACTTTTGCTTAAAGTCCTAATAGGTAATTGCTATAGATTTTATTCAAAGGAAAAAAAATCTAGCCATATATCTTTGTAGATTGTCCTACTACACTCTTGTCCATATGCACTGAAGATGTATGTCCACATGTTTCTGAAAATCAAAGATTAAAAATCCCACTGCAAGCTAGGACAAGGGTTCAGTTCAGCTTGTAGCTAGTTTAAAAGGTCTTAATTGGTCTGAACTTGGATATGCCTAAGAGAAAATGAAATTCCAAGACCTATGAAGTTCACTTTGTGTAATTCCTAAGTGAGACATAATTATGCACTTGTTGAATGTTCTTTTGATTATTTAATTACACTTAGCTAGAATTTATTGAATTCTTATTATGTGCTTTTATCTCATTGATTCCCACAACCAGCATGCAAGACAGGTGTTATCATCCTCATGCTTAGGGGAAACCTCAGTAAGCACAGGGGCTTGAAGGATTTGTTAGGTCATATAGTGAGTGAGTAGCAAAGCTAGAATTCATACCCAAGACACTTTTTACCACAGCCAGACACCTCATAAGCTTTAGGAACCAAAGACAGTGACTCTGTGCTCTCATACTGAAAGTAGCTGGTTAATAAATCTATGTTTAAATACATGAGATAGAACTGGGTGCACTGGCTCATGCCTGTAATCCCAACACTTTGCGAGGCCAAGGCAGGAGGATCACTTGAAGCCAGGGATTCGAGACCAGCTTGGGCAACAGAGCGAGGCTACCCTCTCCACCATCAATCAATGAGTAAATCTTGCATTGCCGGTGGAAATTAGGTCCAAAGGACATTGTTCCTGAATAGAACTTATCTCGGAAGGCCAGGGATTTGAAGGCAAGGTCAGGAACTGCTCCTAATCATTGCAAAAGATCAGAAAAACTGCCCACATACCCATTCACAGGATCCTGCCAACCTTTCTAAATGCAGTGACACTCCAAATGTCAAAATCATCTGTGCTGACATATGCAAATACTGTCAGGCAACAGCAGAAGCACGTCAAACTGCCCAAACCCATTCAGAGGGTAAAATAACAAGGAATTCACTGCATGCAGTTATCATTTGTAATGACATGCTCATGGATTCTGGCCACATTTTTTGTACCTCAGCCTCCATTTTACAAATGGGAAAAAGGAAAAGAAAATAAGTCACTTCTAATATGTCCTTCCTGTACAGGATCTTACATATTTTAGTGTCATTTTAAGAAATCGCTACCATGAAAGAGTACTGATTTGCTCAGCAGTAGATTGTGGCAATGCTGGATGAATCAGCGAAGAGGAGGTTGATTATGAAAAGCAGAAAGCTCCTATTTAGGCAAAAAAGCATCTTGGTAATCAACAATGATGAGAGAGGAGCCTTAGAAAGGGTACGTGACAACTTGATAGCGCTTTTGTAAGACAGGATGCTGTTTTAAGTTGGTGGAGTTTGGCAGAGGTTCTCTTTAAAAGGAAATTCACAAACTTGAGAATAATTATTTGATTGTGTACTTTTCATCAGTGCCAATCTGATTAGATTTAAATAAAATAAATTTGTATTGCTTGGCATCTTGGGAAAAAGAGGTAACTTTATTATTATTATTTTTTTTTTTAAAGAAAAAGCACCTTCTACTTAACCAAGCTAGAACAATCTTTAAATGTGCAATGCAACCTTAATGAATAACATATCCCTTTCAGGACTCCCATTAAATGTCCTTATAAGTGCACTCCTACTCCAGCATAGCCTGTGTTAGCTAATCAAGGATGCACTGATATGCCTCGTAACCTGACACTTCAGAAGTCCTAGAACCATATGGAACAAGGAAATATTAAAGCAATAGATGAGGAATTGGAAATAGGGGGGACAAAGGGAACCGAGCACAAAATCAATTTTGACTTTACAAGAATCACCACAAACTCCACAGATCTAAAAATCAAACAAATAAACAAAAAACTGTGGGACTCAAATATAAAGATTTAAGAGAAATAAAAGCAAACACAGTAATCCTTCAAAACACAAGATAAATACACAAATCACTGAAATAATACATATAATCTATACTTACAGCCATTCTAGTAAAATGAAAGAAGATGAGTGAAAGCATATCTTAATTATGATGCTGAAGCTTTTTGGACATCAACTAGCTGATAGACAAGAAGACATAATTTCTGCGGCAAAATATTCCCTCTTTGCAAAAGATATACCTTGGCTTGATGCACTTTATTTTTTTCAAATTATACCTACCCAGGTAATCAAACCACACTAACCCCATAACCCCAAATACCCAAATGCAAATAATAATCACATTATATTTCTGTTTCTCCCAACTAAATTGACGTTATTATAAAATATATACAAACATACTATATATATACTTTAAATATAGTAAAAGCACAGAATTCTGATTTTTCTAAATGCTTAATTTGGCATTGAAATCGGTCATGTCCACTTAAAATGATTTGGAGAGTGTCTTTCACACAACTACTTCTGTGGATCCTTTCTTTATGACTATATTCCTAATTCTTGTGCTGTTCATTTTAATGCATTATTGTTTCATAATACAATACTACAAATTGCAAATTACATTTGGCTCAAGGAGTGATTATGAAAAATACTATCACTGCTGCCTTTGCTCAAATAACTCTGATAATAATGAGAGATTGATTGAGCTTTAAGCAGCTCAAGTGATGAGAAGGGTCAATTTGAACATTTCTATTAAGCTTCTTTTGTTAAACCCAACACTTTGCCAGGTCAGAGGCAAATAATCATACCCTACATCTGGTTACCATGGTTTTCCTTTTCCTAAAGCAAGGGAACAATTTAGTAAGTGGTACTGCCCTGAAGGCAGTCCCCATAAGAAATGCTAATGAGACCTAAGTCACAAAAACACATCCATTTAAAAGGGCACTTGAAGGAAGAAAAAGGAAAAGGTGGAATGATATTTCACTACACACCTTTCTCTAGGACAAACAACAGGAGGTATTCAGTAACAAAGATAATAATTCGGGTTGCCATCTGCCTACTTAATCAAATGGCTATCCAGGTTGTAAATGCTTATGAGGTAGTACAAACACACGCACAAGGTAAGGATATCTTTGTTTGAGTTATAAACATCCACCCTCAATTAAATATGCATTGTGATTCAAATTCTATGTTTCAACTACTGACAGGAAGTGATACACATACATACGTTACAGCAACGGAAACACCTTCAAATATTTTCTTACCCTTGTATGTTCATAGAGCAGACGAAAGTCACAAAGACAGACAAATAATGTGATCATTAAAGTTTTGGGATTGGTGGTGGGGAAGCCCCAGGCTCTTTGCATAGCTTCTGGAAACTTTGAAAGATTAAAGCTTCCCTAAAGATCTCATTATCTGTAAAGTTAAGGTGACCGTCAGCACTTTTTTCTGTTGATTATAGGAAACAATTCCTTTTGATTCACATTTCTTAGCGAATGCTCTCTACAGAGTAAATTAAGAGGTGCAGATTTTCTTTTTATTTATCTTTAAGTTAATTCGCATATTCAGATTCTACATTAGGGAGCTGACATGTTTTTAAGGCCCAATAAAGGGCTCTGTGGAAAAACTGCTAAGAATTGGAAACTAAACCTAATTCTTAGAACAGGAAAGAAAAGATTCCCACAGAGGGAGCAGGTTCAAGTCAAGAGGCAAACACCCGCCATCTACCTGTGTCACAATGCCCTTTTGAAGAAAAAGGGACTAGAGGTCACATATTTGCTTAAAGTCACCATCTGTGCAGCATGCCTGTATCCTGGAGAGTTTAACACACAGAGAAAGCTGGGCATGGTAGATCACGCCTGCAATACTAGCACTTTGGGAGACAGGGGTGGGAGGATCCCTTAGGACAGGAGTTCAAGACCAGCATGGGCAACATAGTGACACCCCACCTCCACAAAAACTCAAAAATTAAAAAACACATACAGAAAATGATGGCGAGCCACCAAAAAAAATGTCAATGGCTCTCTTCCAGAAAAGATCCTTCACTCTTTGTGCTGTGGTTTCTCTCTACCAGGATGTACAGCACTAAATATTATTTACGACTCAACTGTGGTTAAGAAACCATCTGAAATCCTGGGGTGGGTGAAGCAGCAAGGGGTCAGAACACGGAGATGTGTTGTCTCATCTCCAGTCTGAATGCTGCTCATGTAAAAGGGACAAGAAATTCGGCAAATGTCAAACCTCCACATTCTTCCTTATTTGACCAAATAGTTCAACAAGCGTCCAAATATACAACTTGTTGATTTGTGCACTGGCCTGGAATTCCTCTCATCCCATTTCCATCTTCTCAGAACTGTCACGTCTGCACTGCCTGCTGTGTGGTCTCAGTCCCTAGACAGGCTCACTGGCCATCACAAGCAAGGGTAAAGTTCTGGGGGAAGCAGATCCTGTTTATCCAAGACGGAATCCTGGAACTGAAGGCAATGCTTCATCATTGCCTTCAGTCTCATTTTCTGAGTCTCCTCCAGTCAGAGCTGCTTTTGCAGGATATCATTATGTTGCTTTTCCCTGGCTGCAGGTGGAAACTATCTTGTCTAAACTAGTGTGTATACTCATGACGTATTAGCAAAACTCACTTCACTGGGGACAGTATATACACAAATCTCAGTGGGTAGAAATAACCTATATATCTTTTTTTAGCAAAGGAGTTCAGAGACTCTATTGAGGAAATAATTCAGGCATAATTAAGTTAAGGGTAGAAAACCCTGTGAAGAGGAACTTAGTGAACAACATGAGCAGACAGATGTACCCTGCCTTAAAATTTCAAAAGCCTTCCATACCCATTCTTTCATTTAGTTCTTAAAATTAAATGTGAAGAACGCGGAAAGAAGGAAAACTGAGGCTGATATGTTTAAATGCCAGAGGCAGTGGGGCAGGATGGGGCTGAGCTAGCTGGGTTGGGCAGGGAAGGCTAGAAAGTCTAAATCCCAAATTCTCTCTACTACAGTATACTTATCTCTCTCTGATTTACCTCCACTGCTTTCAATGACTAGGTTCTTCATTTAGATTTACACATTAAGAGTTCATGAAGTAAACTATATTATATTTTAAAATAAGTTATTGATGGCCCAACTATTAGCCTTTGCACAAAGAACATGTTGGACTAGAGACAGGGTCTTGCTCTGTTGCCCAGGCTGGAGTGCAGTGGTGCAATCATAGCTCACTGCAGCATCAAACTCCTGGGTTCAAGAATTCTGCCGCCTCAGCCTCCTGAGTAGCTGGGACTATAGGCACGTACCACCACACCCAGTTAATTTTTAAGTTTTTTGTAGAGACAAGGTCTTGCTATGTTGCCCAGGCTGGTCTCAAACTCCTGAGCTCAAGCAATCCCTGTCTCGGCCTCCCAAAGTGCTTGGATTAAAAGCATGAGCTCATACCTGACCAACTCATTATTTATTATACTAAAATTATATTAAAATGAACTTTATAAAGATCACTATGTAAGAATCTTTAACTAGACTATAAAATACGTGGATGTGGGAAATGTAATTTGGACTCTTAAACGTCTACCAAAATGCATGATGTGATTATTTCTCAATACAGAGTAACAATCAGTACATGCTGATGGTGGATGGGCTTGAAAGTATCAGATATAAAAGTATCAAAGCATTCCATCTAAGTCCCAGAAGACAAGATCTAACATGCTAGAACAAGAATACTTTGGGGGATAATTTCAAAGTAATCACAAGAGAGTTAGGCACCATGGCATGTTCCTATAATCCCAGATTCTTGGGAGGCTGAGGTCAAATGAGTTTGAGAACAGCCTGGGCAAAGAGCAAAACCATCTCTTAAAAACCAACCAACCAACTGACCAACAAACAAGACCCACAAGACTAAAAAGACACCTAGGTCACTACAACCAACATTAAAACACCATGATAAACAGCCTCACTCAGCCTGGGTGTTGTGGCTCACAACTGGAATTCCAGCACTTAGGACTGCTTGAGCCCAGAAGTTCAAGACCAGCCTGACAACACAGTGAGACCACGTCTCTAGAAAATATGCAAAAATTAGCCGGGTACGGTGGCGCACGCCTGTCGTCCTAGCTACTCGGGAGGCTTAGGTGGGAAGATTGCTTGAGCCCAAGAGTTTGAGGCTGTGATGAGTTATGATCACACCACTGCACTTCAGTCTCAGTGACAAAGCAAGACCCTGTCTCTAAAAAAATAAGTAAGTAAATAAATAAGAGCTTAACTCTAAAATCAAAAAGACTTGGGGTATTTGATGTGTGATAACTGGCACTATTAAATTATAATAAAACTACTGTATAAAAAATAGTAATAGCAAAGATAAAATGCAATCATTTTTTAAAACACGTAGCACACTGCTGGCAGAAATCATCACTGAATATGTAACAGACACTATTTCCTAACAAGAATATCTAAACATTCATCTCCTCCTCCATTTCCAGGTAGCTACTCTAGTCTACCTCAGTTTGGAAGCCCACGACCATTTCAGTGGTAGCATTTTCCATCATTTGTGGTCTGTTGTGGGTCTTTTTGGTTAAATGAAAATGATCTGGCCAGTGATGGTTAGTCTTGGCCAGCACAATAAAGTAAGGGTGGACAGCAGCCCAGAGTTACAAAGCAGCTGCACTTTCAGAGGCCCGAGGCCACCTGGCTTCAGAGCAGTGAGCTAGAGAGGCAGGTGCTGCAAGCTGCTCACCCAACATCCATTCTCTTCTTTCTCCTTACTAGTAAAACCCTGATGTGGCTGGGAGAGGAAATGTACCTATTCGGGATTTAAACTACATTCCCCAGCTTCCCTTGAAAACAGGAGCTGAAGATAAAAGACAGTAGTTAAGAGCATGGCCTCTGGAGCCAGAATCCTGGGTTCAAAGTCCAGCTCTGCCTCTTCCTAGCATTATGCTGTTAACTGGCTGTGAAGGGCAACTCATTTAACCTCTTTAAACCTCAATTTCCTCTTTGGTAAAATGTAACCATCCTCACAGATTTATTGTGAAGATGAAATGAATTATTCAGCCCTGTGTGTTGGCACATAAAAACACTAAATAAATATGAGCTATTTTATTATCATTGTTATCCTTAATTTCTGGTTCACAGAAACTGATGAGTGGCACTTCTGGAAAAGATCCAGAGAAAGAAGCTGACTTAGCTAGAGTTGTAACTCTGAGAGTTGTGACACTGAGGATAGAAACACATGTTAAGACACTCGCGTTCACAGCAGCCTTATTACAACCGCTAGCGTGCATCGACGTGGGAATGGATAAACAAAATGACGTATATACATACAATAAAATACTACTCAGCTTCAAAAGGAAGGAAATCCTGACACACACTACAACACGGATGAGCCTTGAGGACATTATACTAAGTGAAATCAATCAATGGCAAGAAGATAAATACCGATTCGGCTTATATGAGGTAGCTCAAGTAGTCAAACTCATAGAGACAGAAAGTAAAGTGGTGGTTTCCAGGGACGGGGGAAGAGGGAACTGGGGAGATAGCGGCTGATGGGTACAGAGTTTCGCAAGACGAAAGGCGTTCTAGAAACTAATGGTGGCGGTGAAGTGCACAACAACGTGAGCACACTTACTGCTGCTGAACTAAACGGCTTAAAAATGGCTACAGTGGTAAATATTAGGTATATTTCACCACGATTTAAAATGATAACAACAATAAAATACAGATTAAGGATGGTTGAATAAAAAGGAGGTGGTGATGCTGACAACACTCTGAGGCGACCATATGATCTTTGGACTTCCAATCCCCAGACTTAATGAGAGAAAATAAAACTCTGGCTTGTTTAAGCCACAAGTATTTGAGTCTGTGCTACAACCAAGACAATTTCTTACAGATCAAGGCATGGAGATAAGCAAGCAAGGAGTGTCTGCTTTCATCTATTTGGCTTCCCAGTGAGAGAAAATAATACATCCTTTGTAACATCTTTGGAAATGCTCCCATCTTCAGATCAATACCTAACTTGTTCAGTCTTATAGTCCCCAACAACTGATTTTGTCAGGATGGCACCCTCAAAGCCAACCCACAGTGGCCAACAGAGTGCGAGGAGGAGCCCAGTGCCTCCCAAAAGGCTAAGAGCAGAACTAATTGAGACAACTGCAAATAAACACCAATAGATATTCAGGCCAAGGCTGCTATTCCAGCTGACAAAGACTGTCAGTACTGAAGACAAAAGGAAAACAACAATCCATGAGTCAGAACTGATTTTCATTTTCTCTTCATTGTTTCTGATGCTATTTGGGTACTCTCCAGTTGGTGATGGCTTCATGCACTTTCTATTATGTTGGCTGTTAATAAGAGCTTTCTCTCTAATCAGACGGCTGTCCACCAGCTGTATGTATAGACAACGGTGGAAGACACTTCTAAAGGGAGAGGTCTTTTCCCTTTGCTGACCAGACTAAATGGAAACTGGATAAAAATGTTGCTTTTATGACTCAGAGAATGTCTGTCTTACAAGATAAATAATGCTTAAAGAAATTCTGTCAGATAGACAGGAGTGTAGCCAAAGAGTAAAGCATAGAACTTTGAGAATAAAAGATAATAAGACCTGCATGGATAAAACTAATTTGAATGTGGGACCTTCTGAAAAAGGAGTTCCACAGGAAAAATGCTATATAAATTTTTCTGTTTGTTCATTAAAATTAAGAAAGATAAAATCTTAGTGGTAACCCATTTAAAGACTGTAATGGTATCTAACTATTACCAAAATTACCAAACAATAGCTAACTGGTTACATGGTCTACCTTTTTAAAAATAATAATTAGTTCATAATACTTTATTACTGAAAATATAAAAGAAAATCAAAATTGTGTCACAGTAGGAAAAACATATAAGTCTACACTTTCCTGGGAAATACACTTTCAGAAATAATTCCAGTTAAAATGTTTCCGAATGCAATAACCGGAGAGTACATCATACACAGAGTGACTCACGAAATTAAAAATGCATGTACAAATAAAAAGTTCACATTAATAGTTTGAACATACCAAGGACTTTATGTCTCTTTGGATAGACATGAAAGATGGACACTGTTGCCCTGAAAAACAAAGATATCCACAAATCATAGTATATTACAATTTTTTTGGAAGTCATGGGAATAGAAGCATTCACGAATCTTGGAAAAAACAAACCCTGGGAAAACACAGTCTGGAAATGTATGTGAGTACATAGTGGGGGCTCCTGATTATGTGTTATAATGGTTAAATGTCACAATATTGGAAAAGAAAAGCTTCCTAAAAAGGTAATTTTGGCCAGGCATGGTAGCTGACACCTGTAATCCCAACACTCTGGGAGGCAGAGATGGGAGGATCACTTAAGGTCAGGAGTTCAAGACCACCCTGGATAACAAAGTGAGAAACCATCTCTACAAATAAATGAATGAATGAATGAATGTGCATGCCTGTGGTCCCAGCTACATGGGAGGCTGAGGCAGGAGGCTGCAGTGAGCCATGCTTGCTCTACTGCACTCTAGCCTGTCCGACCTGGGTGACAGAGCAAGATCTTGTTTAAAAAAAAAAAAAAATGGCAGGGCTGGGGGCAATTTTAAAGCTTGGACTTTGACAAAACAATTTACTGACTATAAGTACTTTTCTTGTTCTGTAAGCATGAGAGAAGACTGGAACTAGGCAGCTAATTTAGAGTAGCTAATGCCACGAAGATCCTTAACCCACAGATAGCTCTAGGAAGGTCGTGTTCAGCAGGACAACTCCCAACATACAAGAGAAAGGCAGAGACAGTGAATGACAGTCTCTCACCATGGAGGGTAAGAAGTGATCCTACAGGCAGCAAAATCAATCACCAAATTTATTTTTCCTGCAACTTTTGTTAAGTACTTACAAATTAATTCCTTATATCCTAATAGCTACAATCCTTTGTGAGAATCTGCAATTAGGATTCACTTAATGTCACCTAAAAGGTCATTTCTATTGCTCAAAAACTATGGAAATCTGGCACAGGTTTTGCGCTTGTGTTTGTATCACAGTGCCACGAAAAAAGCTCTGCTTCTTAAAACAGGGATATGCGATGTTCTCAACTTGAACAAGCATTAGCATCAGAGATGCTAGCCACACCTGCATCATATAGAAATATTCAAGTATATCACAGAGTGCTGGGTAACCCTTCAAAATAGGTCCAGTTGACACCTACTGACTAATCACTCCATGTAGCCAAGACCAGGAGGACTTTCTGACCTCTCAGCAGGAACAATGTTGACCACATCATTCTAATTAATTAAAAACACATCCTTGCTTTAATGGCTTTAGTGACTGCACTCTTTTGGTTTTCCTCCTCTCTCTGCAGTGGCCTCTTCTCAGTTACCAACAGCTCCTTCCTCTGCCCCATTCCTGCCCTGAGCGCCAGTGATATTCAAAGGGGCCTTAGAACTCTCTCTGGCCACCTTCTATTACTCCTTCCCTCTATACGCACTTCCCAGACCATCTGTTCACTCACACTGCCATGGTTGCAAGCACCACCTGACATGTCTTTGATTTCCAAATCTCTACAGTGCCAGCCCTTCCCCCTCTTCCACCCTCCAGTTCCCTCCAGGTAGACATATCACAGGCTTATGAGATGCAACATGTCACATGTCCTCCAAATAGGATCCTCTTCCAGTATTTACTAGCCGGTGTGTGACTATCCACCCAGCTGACCAGGCTAAAACTGTGGCAATTCTTTCTTATTGTTCTTTCTCCTTTCTTTTTTTTTTTTTTTTTTTTAACATCAAATCAAATAAGCAAGTCCCCTAGAGTCTACCTGAGAAATACATCTATATGTCTCTGTCCCTACGGCTACCTCCATCACTGGCCACAATTTTTACAAAAGCTGCCTCACAGTTCCTGACATCACTCTGGTCTAGCCCTTCAGTTCACTCTACACACTGTGGTTAGAGGAATCTTTTAATTTTCTAAACACTGTAAACTTTATCAAGCTATTCTCTTGAATGGCTACCCACTATCTTTAGGAGCAGAGTCAAGCCATATCGAGTCATTTATGAGAGGCCACCTGCCTCTCCAATGCCTCCAGGTTCCTCATCCCACCCTCGCAAACCGAGAGGATTTCCACCATCTAAATGGTGTTTTTCAAATTTTGTTTTGGAACTCACTGAAGACCTGAAATTGATTTAGTGGCACTTACTTACCATTTAAAAAAAATGAATTGCAGAATATTAGTATCAACAGCAGCAGCTAATACCCACAAAGTACTTACTTTGTACCAGGAGGAGTTCTAAAATGCTTTGTATCTATTAATTCCCATTAGCTTCAAAACAACCCTGTGAGGCAGGTACCATTATTATCCACACTTCACAACTGAAAAAAGTAAAACACAAAGAGGTTAATTAACTGGCCCCACACACAAGGCTGGTGAGCATACAGCTGGGATTTGAACTCAGGACATCTAAATTTAGAGTTTAGGTTCTTAGCCACTACCCTATGCTGCTGCTCAATAAATACATCACACTCCATCACACTGAGAAGGGCAGGTATCACTTGTTCTGTGAAATGTTTACTTTAGCTATCTGTGCCCATACCTGTACACGAGGTTGCAAGGTAGGATGTATTTCTTCTTACAGATGATATCAAAAAAGGTTAAATCCCACTGCTGCAAAACACTCCTTTTTCCCCTTTGAGTTCAGAGAAAGAAGTCAAAACCTCTTTCAGACCTGTTTTAATGTCATTTTTCAGAAGAAGGCAGATGGCTTCTAGTCTGCGCTAGGCCCATTTGTGGCAAGTTCCCACAATGTCCCCATCTCCCTTTCACGAGGCCCTGGAGCAGGACCTACTTACTCAGTGACTGCCACGTCTCCTGTATCCACCACTAAATCCCCAACACCTCTAACACTGCCAAGGATGTAGTAGGCACTCCAGTAAATATTTGTTGAATGTATGAAACAAATGGTTTTACCTCTCAATTACTAAAATCATCACACCTGCTCCAAAACCAAGTTTTAAAAAAAAAAAAAATCCACCTGCCCATCATTAGAAACCATTTTTGCCAGGTGAAAAATAAAACCCTCAGAATTTATTTTACTGCCCAGGTGAATTTTTTTTTTTTTTTTTTTTGTGCAAGGCAGGTAAAACTTTATGTGAATGTGTTCTGCCTAAGTGATTATCAATGCTTTGCCACTGTGCTCAAAGTAACATCAGGCAACTGGCTATTGCTACGGCCTAGAAAGAACATCGAAGGAAAATTTCCATCCTGTTAGAGTACCTACTTGCAGTTGATCTAAACTTTACTTTCTCAAAATTGTTCCAGAATCAAGATATCCTGAGATAAATTAAACAGATGTCATCACTTTCTCAATTAAGAAAATGATTTTATTTTTGACACTGAGCTTAAGACCTCCATTCCAAAAAAAAAAGGAAAATATTTTTACTACTATAAAAGGAGATAAAATTTTTAAAAAGGAAAGAAATCTGAAATTCTAGGAATAGAAAAGCTCAACTTGGGATGTTTTCCTAATAGCTAAAATCAGCTATAAGAGCAGGAATTCGATAAGATGTTTTTTTTTTTCCTCTACAATCTTCAGTTAGTGGAAATTTACAAAGGTCAGGTTTGAGGATCCCAGACAGATGTGAGACAGGTGATGCTGAGCTTGAATAGCCTCCCAAGGAGCAAAGCCCTGAGAGGTGAGCCAGTGTACCCACCAAGGATCAGGCAATTGTGAGCTGGGCGGCACTGACAGGGCATGGGCTGAGGTGGAGAGGAAGACAAGGAGACAGAGGAATGAGCAGAGGATGCAAAAACTGCTAACACAGTCTGCGGAAAAGACCTCATAATTGTTTTGATAGGGAAAAATCAGAGGCAGCAATGGTGGAGCAAGATAGAGGTACAAGGTGGCATGCAGTAAGGAAAGGGGAAAATGAGGGTGGGAACAGGAAGAGGCAGGGAATGCGCAGCACAGAGCCACCTAGAAGGAAGAGAGCCGGAGGAAAGAGGGCATTGTTTTAAAATCGTCCTCGTTTGTGTTCTGGAGCAGGGATGGCTGCCATCGCACCTACACAGACAGGTCTGAGAGTCTGTGAAGAGGGAGAGGAATGAGACAGCTGGTAAGTTTTTCATTAGCAGTAAAAATCCTTAAGAATTATTTTGGTGCCAGGCATTGTGTTCCATGCCTGTAATCCCAGCACTTTGGGAGGCCGAGGTGGGAGAATCACTCGAAGCCAGGAGTTTGAGACCAGCCAGGGCAACAAAGTGAGTCCCCATCTCTACAAAATTAAAAAAAAAAAAAAGAATTATTTTGGGAAGAGAAGAGACCATAGACAGAGAAAGCTATAGAAATCAAGTAGGAATAAAACGTGAAAGTCAGGTTCAAAAAATACTAACTTCTGCATTTCCAAGCTAGTAACATGTGAGTGCTTTTTTCCATAGCACTCACAATAGCAATGCCATGTCGCATAGCAATCTTGGCTCCCACATAGGTTTTAGGGGTGGCAAAACCTACCCGGAAGGGTAAGACGGCTCAGATGGTGCAGGAGAGTGTTAGGAACACGGCCTTTGAGGTTGACCATTGTTCAAATTCGGTGTGACTCTACCACCAATTACCTTGTGACCTTGGTAAGTTCTTCTCCACACCTTTATGTTTTAGTTTCTTCATTCATAAAACAGGGCTAAAATTAGTACCTTATAGGGTTATTATGAGGTGTAAAGGGGTTATTGAAAACAATGTTCTCTGCAGTGTCCACCAGTATCAACATGCAATGAATGAATGCTGACTGCTAGCCACAGTATTGGCTACATGAGAAATAGCTTATTGTTTGCCTTAAAAAGTCAGAATGACCAACATACCACCTGACAAAATCAGAAATGGAATAAAAACTGATAATAGATCATCCTCTAAATTAGCCAGGAGAGTGGAAATTGAGAAACCTTAATATAGCAAGTTAGAAAAATTTTGTAGTTGGTTTCCATCACTTTAAAGTATCTGTTCAGTTCATTTCAAAGTATCTGTTCCTTTGTATGAGCAGAGACTGTAAAGTTCTTCATTTCCTTTTTTTAAAAAAAGACTAACATTGTTAGATAATATTGTCATTATAAAAGAAATGGAAGGCACAATATAAATATTATAAATGTCATGGGAGAAGAAACTAAGAAGGTGAGGTTGTCATCAGCCTGTCAAGGCATACCTCAGATTCCAGGCCCCAGGTATGGGCTGGGCCCTGGTGCCTCTTGAGAAATGTGTGGATACCTAGCAGCGGTAGTGAAAGGGAAACCCCAGAGCGCCTCCAGTGGGCGAGGCAGAGGTTGTCTGTAAGTGGCCCATGGCTGGGGCCTTCAGAAGGGAGGCCTTCCACCTGCTCATTTGCTCTGCAGCAGCTGCCCACAAAGCTTGTAAGGAGTAAAACCAGTTTTGACTTCTTTAGAAACAGAATCTTACACAACTCCTAGACTCTGACGTTTTCAGGCGTAGGCAGACATGAAAGGGCAATTTTAACACGAACTCTTTGCTTAAATCTATCACCACTCAACTATACAATCCTCAGCCTGAAAACAGGGAATTTCCCAACATGGAATGTTTAATCTGGTAATCATAATTATCTTTTCTGACAGTCTTATGTAGAGAATACTTAAATCATGGCTGGGCACAGTGGTGCACGCCTGCAATCCTAGTAGACTGGGAGGCCAGGCAGGAGGATCACTTGAGGCCAAGAGTTTGAAAATACCCTGGGCAATAAAGTGAGACCGTGTCTTTACAAAAAGTAAAAAATTTAAAAAAATAGCTGGGCATGGTGACATGCACCTATAGTCCCAGCTACTCAGGAGACTGAGGCAGGAGAATCACCCAGGAGTTCAAGGTTGCAAGGATCATGTTACTGCACTCCATCCAGCCTGGGTGACAGAGCAAGATCCTGTCTCTAAAAAAATTTTTTTATTAAAAAAATTCAAAATTAAGCTGGGCACGGTAGCTCACGCCTGTAATCCCAGCACTTTGAGAGGCACAGGTGGGCGGATCATTTGAGGTCCAGAGTTGGAGACCAGCATGGCATACATAGTGAAACCCCATCTCTACGAAATTAGGTGGGTGTGGTGGCTCATGCCTGTAATCGCAGCTACTTGGGAGGCTGAGGGAAAACTGACTGAACCCAGGAGGCAGAGGTTGCAGTGGGCTGAGATCGCGCCAGTGCACTCCAGCCTGGGCGACAGAGCAAGAATGTCTCAAAAAAAAAAAATCAAAATTAATGTTTTTTAATTTACAAAAATCATCTATGGCTATTTTTAGCAGAATAAAAGAACTTCAATAATAAACCGGGCCAGGCGTGGCAGCTCACGCCTGTAATCCTAGCACTTTGGGAGGCCAAGGCAGGGGGATCACAAGGTCAGGAGTTTGAGACCAGCCTGACCAACATGGTGAAACCCCATCTCTACTAAAATTACAAAATTAGCCAGGTGTGGTGGTGCATGCCTGTAATCCCAGCTACTCGGGAGGCTGAGGCAGGAGAATCGCTTGAACCTGGGAGGCGGAGGTTGCAGTGAGCTGAAATCGTGCCGTCGCACTCCAGCCTGGGCAACAAGAGCAAAACTCCATCTCAAAATAATAATAACAATAATTCAAATACCATGACGTAGATCCATGGAGCATGAAAGGCTGCTCTTTGGGGACTGTGTGTGCAGTCACAGGTATGTACGTATACAAAGGCAGAGACGGCAGTGACATTGCCTTCCAAAGATGGGAACGCCAGCATTGTCCTGGTATGAAGACTTGTCATAAATTGCAAAATTACCCCCAACAGAAGTTTCCAGCATACACTATTCACCGCTGATTCCAAAAGTATTTTTTTTTTTTGAGACGGAGTCTCGTTCTGTCCCCCACACTGGAGTGCAGTGACGCCATCTTGGCTCACTGCAAGCTCCGCCTCCTGGGTTCACACCATTCTCCTGCCTCAGCCTCCCAAGTAGCTGGGACTACAGGCACCCGCCACCACGCCCGGCTAATTTTTTTTTTGTATCTTTAGTAGAGACGGGGTTTCACCATGTTAGCCAGGATGGTCTCGATCTCCTGAACTCGTGATCCGCCCACCTCGGCCTCCCAAAGTGCTGGGATTACAGGCGTGAGCCACCGCACCCGGCTCAAAAGTTTTATTTATTCATTCACTCAACACTGTTTTAGTCTGGATTTAATCACAAGCAGACCCTGGGACAAGGATTCAGGACAGTGGTTTAAGGGAAGAAACACTTGGGAGAGAAGTGGAGATGCCACAGTGGGGAGGAAAGGCTGTCACAAAGGGATGTTACCGAGCCTGTGAAACTGTGGGTATGGGGAACACAACCCCACAGGCAAACTCTGGGAGCAGGGTAGGGGCTGCTGCCTCTCGACCTGAAATGCACACAGGAATCCCCAGGGTTGTTAAGCTGCACATTCTAATGTCAGCAGATGTGGGCAGGGCCTGGGATTCCACATTTCCAACAAGCTCCTGGTCTGAGGGTGAAGAGTGCAGACCTTATGACTTAGTGCTATAAACCCAAGGGCCATGGAGACTGGGGTACATTTACACTGGCGTTGAAGGCTGCTCCAAGGTGTTATTCCTGGGCACATCCAGCAGGCACAGATGGAAACACAGAGCTGCCTTCCAAGACTTCAGAGAGGCCTCAGACACAGAGGCAGAGAATGGCCACTGAAGGGGTTTGGCAATGGGCATCTGTTACACTTACTGGGCACTGATGATGGACGCATCATGCAGTCTGCCAGGGATACAGCAGGGGAAAAATGGGTTAACATTCTCTGTCAATGTCAATGTATATTTACATCAAATGAGTGGGATCTATCATAGCTCAGGTAGGAGTGCAAATGTGAAAAATGATGCCAAAAAGTGGGTTAGAAAAGTGTCAGGGTGAGAGGGAGCAGAGTTTGCAATTTTGGCTAGACCCTCTAAAAAGCTGACTCTTGAATAAAGATGTTAAAGGTACAAGAGTGAACCTAGGAATACCTGAGAAAAGGCTATTCCAGGTAGAGGCAGGATCAAGGGAAAAGGCTCTAGTGGACCCGGTAGGTTCAGGGAAGAGTAAAGTTACTGAAGGAAAGAGCGGTAGGGACAAGGTCAAAGAGGCTGGGGTGGGGGACCAAGTTCTGTAGGGCCCTAAGGATTTGGTTTTTGCTCTGAGTGGTGCCGAAGGCTACTGGGGGTTGAACAGAGGAGGGAAAAGTGACTTCTGGATGTGGTGGTGAGAATAAACTGCAGGAAGCAGGGGTTGAGGCAGGGAGCACAGTGAGAGGGCTACTGCCTAAGCCAGGAAGAGGGCACACAGAGCTTGGACCACTGGGGCACAGTAACAGCGGCACTGGGGGCTGAAAAGTAGGATTGCAGATGTGTACCAAAAACAGAGCTAATGGACTTTTGCTTTTATACATTCTTAAACTGCTTGTGGGGCATAAGGGAAAATCAGGTGTCAAGGATCACTCCAAAGCTTTGGATCTAACCAACTGAGAAGACAGAACTGCCATTATCTGAGAAAGGGAAGGCTCGCGGGAGCAGTTTGCGGGGAGGGGGAATCCAGCAGTGAGTTGGGAGCGTGTGAAGTTTCAAGTGTCTGGTTGATCTCCAAGTGAATGTGTCAAGAAGATGGTTAAACTACAAATGAAGAGTTCCAAGAAAATGTCCAGGCAGGAGAGGTGAATTTGAGAGTCATCTGCCTATAGGCTGTATTTGGATCACAAAGGCTGTTTCCTGAGAATATCAAAATTCTGTGTTACCAAAAAGAGAAAACAAAAGGACTTCGGACTGAGCACCTGGGGCACAAGACCTGGAGGACAGAGTATGGCACAGAATTAGCAAAGGAGACAAGACAGGGTAGGCCAGGGAGGAGGAGGGAAAGCTGGCAAAGTTGGTCTCAAAGGAGAGCCATGATTAACATGCTGGGTACTGCCAGTGGACCACGATGAGGGATGAAAATGGACCCCGACTTCCCAAGGAAGAGGAACTGGTGACCTGGACGAGAACAGGATTTGCTGAGTGGAAGGGGTGAAGGATTCATTGAAGCAAGTTCAAGAGAGAATCGGAAAAAAGAGACAGCAAATATATCAAAGGGTCTGCTGTGGTGGGCAAGAGGACATGAGATCGTAGTTGGAGAGTAAGTAGGGCTAAGAGAGAATTTTCTCTAAGATGGAGGAGGTAACAGCATGGTGCAAAACAATGTGAATGATCCTGTAGAGAGAAGAGCAATGCCAGGGGCAGTGGCTCATGCCTCATCTCAGCATGCTGGGAGGCAGAGGCCAGAGGATTGCTTGAGGCCAGAAGTTTGAGACCAACCTGGTCAACAAAGTGAGATCCCACCTCTATATAAAATTTAAAAAGTAGTAGGCACAGTGGTGCACGCCTGTAGTCCCAGCTACTGGGAAGGCTGAGGTGGGAGCATCACTTGAGCCCAGCAGTTCAAGGTGCAGTGAGGCATGATTGCACCACTGTACTCCTGCTGAGCAAGACCCTGTCTCCAAAAAAAAAAAAAAAAAAAAAAAAAAAAAAAAAGGCAGACACAGATGGATCAGATGGATTTAGAAGAGAGAAGAAATAATTAAACATTGTTGGGGCAATGTCCTGCAAGAGGGAAGAGAGGACCAGAATGGTTTTTTGGGAGCTTGGCCTTGGCTTACAGCATGGGATGGAGGTGGGGGCAGAGGTTCAACCATCTCCCCCACCCCCCCGCCCCCCCAAGAAGAAAAGAGTAGTCATGGATGATGCAGAAAGAATTATGAATTGCTTGCAGGAGGCAAGAGAGGACCAGAATGGTTTGGCTCTTGGCTTAAAGCATGAGATGCAAGTGGGGAAAAGGATCAACCATCCAAAAAAAAAAAAAAAAAACTGCAAGCAGAGAGGTTAATAGGAGACCTGGTTATTTCACTATGATCCAAAATTTAATCTGATTTTAGTCTTTTGCTTCTAAATTGGCTATTATTAAACATAGGTCAGAAGAAAACCATTCAACGCTCAATTAGGAAAGAGATCCCCCAGTGAATTCTTTAAAAGATTGTCAGGACAAAACAATTACCTTTATATACTAATTTGTGGCTTGATACAAGTACATTTAGGAGTAACATGTACTTGATCTATTATATTTAATGTAAACAATATGGAACCTTAATGGTAACAAGTAAAAGCATTCACAAGGAATATTTCCAACATATGTTGTGGTGAATATCATTAGCTGAGCTTGTCTTCTAAGTGCATTTTTCAATGGTGCGATAGTATTTATTTACCCTGTGTTATTAGAAAGTGAATAGTCAGTAGCCTTCAATTTTCACATCAATTGCAGAAAAAAGATTCCATTTTCCACACAGCCTGGAATTGAAATTGACTTAGCATCTCAGAACTGTCAAGAATTTCTTTTGCGAAAAGGTTTGCTTTAGAGAGACTATCAAGTAGGTGTCATCCTTGACACCTGCATTCTATATTCATGCCACAGGTCTATGGAAAAGAAACATTAAAGAATGTCAGAAAAGGTCTGAGAGAGGCCCAGCCGTCATGCTTTGTGCCTCCTCAGCTTCCTCTGCATTCAGCCTGGGCGCTGTGGATGTCAGAGGTTCTCTATTTAAAACTGCTAACCAGGAAAAGAAGAATACTTGAAGAATATGATATCAGCTACCTTAGAACTTGTCTTTGCTAGCAGGTCAGTTGGACATTTATTTTCCTGTGTTAAAAATGGGAACCTCTGTTTCAATTCAAATTAATAGAAGCATACATTAAGTCCTTAGGATTTACAAATTCAGAACTCACTCCAAGGAAACCTCCCAGGGTGTATAATCACAAAACAGAGCTGTTCTTTGTCCAGGTGACAAACAAGAAAGCAAATAAAATTATGTAAAATCTCACTGTGTTTCATTTGGAGAAGCATTGTTTTCTATGTGCTTACTTTAACTGTATTCCTTAAATCATCAGCAGATTGCACAGGATGCCACTTGATGTACCAATGTGAAACTGGTCACATTAATCCCCATGGCAATTAGGTCCAAGTCATAAAAAACTAGCATGACAAATAAACACTCTTCTGTGTGTCTCCTTACTAGAACTGAGGGCTTTCACTTGGGCGGGGGCGAGGGTAGAACTGCAAACTGCTTTCAAGTCAGAGCAGAGGTCAAGCCTTCTCACAGGCACTCAACCCAATCCACAATACCCTTTATCAGATGGTTTTCAAGACTTCAGTTATTTATTTTTTTTTATTTATTTTTTTTAATAGAGACAGGGCCTTACTGTGTGGCCCAGGCTCGTCTCGAACTCCTGTGCCTGGAATTACAGGTGTGAGCCAATGAACCCAACCCATGTTTATTTTCAGTAAGAATGCAATGCTAACATTTTCAGGAAAAAGAGTTAATTAAATATACAGTCTCTGTCTCAAATCCTGGGAAGCCATGAATAATGAAACTGTGAATTAAGGCTTCTTACAAGAGAGAAGGCTTCAAACCACAGTAAGGACCATTGGAGATCCACCTGCACTAGCATTGGATCTGTGATTCGAACACTTGGCCGGGCAGACTCTTTCCAGAAACATTTATGAAAGAGTGTGTGCTCTCTCGACACGTGGTCTCAGCAAACCTTGGGATTACTATATGCCAAAGTAGCTCTGCTTTTTTCACACGGGAAGAACCTGCTGGTTCAGCCATCTAAGCACAGAAATTTATTTTCCTACACCACCACCCCCCTGCCAACCACCCATTTTTGGTCTAAACTCTGTAATCCACAAAGGGACTGAAACCTTTGCCAAAAAGGCCCTTTCAAACTGGTCCATCTGGTCATGAATCTATCCGTTGCATCTCATCCCTGATGGGTGACTGTACCAGCCCACACACCTCTTTGCCTCTGCCCTGAATCACCTGTAACATCTGCCTGTGTCCCAAAGTCACTGGTGGTTACACAACACAACCAAATGGGTGGTGGCCCTTTACAGAATCTTGAAAACTCTGATTCTAATATCCAATGGGTGTGTGCTGATGATTTCTGAATACGCCAGCAGTGAGAGGACTATGGTTTTCCACTATGAAAAGGGGCCAATAAAGAAAGGAAAGAGAAAAAAACACGTCTCTGCCTTTTCAAGCGTAATTTAAACCCCAAGCTTGAAATCAAGATCCAAAAGTTCCAAATGGATTAATAAGGAAATTACTAAACCATCAAACTGCTGATGTCGTAAACAAAATTCGTCAACAGCCACTAAGAATTCATTAAAAGTAAATTTATTGTTTGTTTAAAAAAAACAACAACTGTGCAATATGTGCTGTTCAAGACATGTTTTGAATCGCTTTGTTGTTCATCTCTTCTCGGGCTTCAGTTTGGCAAGGCTAAATGAGAGACACGGTACAGACACACAGTTAGTACAGGTGAGGAAAGCAACAAGAATCTGTGTTTGTTCTTTTCTCAAATGCCTAAGATGTATAATCCAAACTACGACATTCAGTTTTTAAAACCTGATTATGTTCATTGTGTTCTGAAAATGATCATATTCTAAAAAGGAAAAGAGAGCAATAAATCTGATTTCAGCCAAACAAGGTTACAAACTAAATTATCTATTTCCTCTTCAAAACTGAATAAAACAATGCTTCGGGGACCCAGGTAATCATTTTAAATGTAATTGGAGGATTCAATTTTAATGGTAATATTGCAACATTTCTTTTGCTTTAGCTTTCTGCAGTGATAGGTTCTCAGCTATCACATATGGACAACAGCTAGAAATAAATCTGAGACATGTACAATAAGGTCACGTCTAAGAACCTTCAGTTTTAGAGTACATACAATTCTATGATATTCAAACGATAACAGTTCCAATTTTGCAGCAAAGCAATATCAAATTACACTTACTCTAGGGCTCACAAAAAGCGAGCACATGATTTTAACTTCTTAATATCTGACAATACAGTATTTTATTATCTTGCTGGTTATTTCAATTTGGAGATTAAAAACTAAGGCAAAACCATGTTGCTTAAGAAGGCTGCTTTCCTTTAAAAACGAACACATTTAAAACATTAAAAAACATATCTCCCTCCTCCTAAAGTACATACTCAATTTCCTCTTTCGTGACAATTTCATACAATTGAAGAATTCTCAGAAATATCCTCCAGTATTAAATTTGAATAGCCGAGTGTCTGAGAATCAAACATACACAGACTCAAACTTTGTGCTCCCCGCTTTGCTCTGCAATCTGCACACAGAATGATTACATTTACAAGTCATGTTTACCTGTTTTGTAAGCACACTCAGGTTTCTTAGATACAAAGCCATTTTAATTAAGGTGATAGAAGCTCCTTGTGTGCAAAAGATGTAGTATGTATGAGGAGAAATTAATACAAACAGGAAAAACTTTGCATTTGTTATTTGATTCCTTATAGATTTAAATTTCTGATTTAAGACTTGCATTAAGGCGGCTTTTGTAGTTCATATACTCCATAATTTATAAACAGAAGAGTGATTCATATGACTCACATTCTTTCCTAGAGCTGTTTATTAATAATTAAATCATCTTTGTGACTACCATTCAATGTGTCAAACAGAAAACCATGCTGTCTGTATATGCCAATGACTAAAAATATCTACTCAAGGTACCATCATTTCCTCTGGTAGAGTTTTTAAAACAAGGCCTATCTATTTGACCCTCATCATATTTAACCAAATATCACAGACAACCTGTTGGGGTAGGAATAGTGTATGAGTGGGAGTTGCAGGGAGGCAACAGGATGATGGGGGTAGGACAGGATGGTAGAGGGAGGAGAGCCTGTGAGCCTGTTTTTAAAGGAAAACATATTACTTCCTCAGGCAGACTAAAGAGAACAAGCTCATGTGCTGCTATATTTACCTACAAAACTAGACTCCCACTACTGAATGTCCCTTAGCCTTTTGTTTTCTGAGCTACAAGATAGAAAGAAAAGGATCACACACACAGACACACCCCTACTTTATACTTCAGGCCTGCACGGTCCTCCATACTTGAACCCTCTTGCAAACCGTACTAAGAAATATATGTGCACATGCATGTTCTGATTAAGCTGTTTAAAAGCAGCACTGCTAAGGAAACCACATCCTAGTTTTCTTAAAAGAACAAAGAGAAAGGAAGAGACCAATTTTTAAATCTTACTGTAGTCCCCTATGTTGTTAGGAGAAAAAAAAAAAAGAAGGAAACGTAAAAGAATCAACCTGAGGGTATATTCATCTCAAACAATCAGATCCAGAAGGTATGGAAGGAAGGTAGTTTAAAAGAATGTTTTGAAAAATCTAACAATGCTTTAACAGTCTTCTCAAAGACTAATGACTATCCTCATCGTGTGAAGGAAGGATCAAGAGCCAACATTCAATAACAAAAAAGCTTATTTCGTGTTTAATATATTATTCTGAACTCATATTCAAGGGGCAATATGTGGCAACCCATTGGGAAAGGGCTGGCGCAGTGGTTTGCAATCTGATAGAACCCAGCCATGCCCAGGGGCACTAGACAAGATGCTGCCACTCTGGTCAAAGGTATTTATGTTCACCGTGGGGTGCTATGTTGCTCTGCTGGGAGAAGAACTCTGTTTTGTGGAATTCCATAGACTTCCTGGTGTAAACACTGCCACCATGGCAAATTTTCAGCTACCAGCATGATGTCACTAAACACGGGGCCGGGAAAAGCTGCACAGTCGTCATTATATAGTATTAGCCCTATGTCCATGCCATAAATGTAAATAATTTCAAAAGCAGAGATCATAGTAAAGTATAGCAAAAATAATTAGGAAGTGATGCATTTCAAGTATTAATTACCTTTGCTTTTTAGATAATGTATTTAATTTTTAATAATGGCTGTGTTTGACAACCAGCTTGCAAAGTTTCTAAAAATTGATCAATTGGCTCTCACCAGCCAAGGTGGGCTGATTCCAATAAACCAATGATTCCACATACCTAAAAAAGTATGAATGTCTGTTATTTTCTTAACAGTCATTCTTAAACACTGGGAGAATATCAGCCTAATTTTTAGGGGGAAAAAAAAACCTTCAGCCCCTGCACCTGCATATAGAATTTTATTTCCAAGAATATGCAGGGTCAACTTCTTTATCATAAAGCTGGCTTTCATTATAGGTTATGGGTACAGGCTGTAGATAATGATCTAGAGAAAGCATCATGTAATGCTTGATAGGACTCCTAGAAAAAAGAGAGTTGTGTGGTGGTGTTCTTCAAGGTCCCTTAGAAACAATACACATTTCTCCCACACTCTGCTCCTCTGGCCCCAGATAGAAAGCTCTACCATAGGCCTTTCTTTCTTCTGGAGTTGCAGGTTACAGAAAAAGATCACTTATAATTAATGGAATTCTAAGATATTAGAAGTATATTTTTTACTCCAAGACCAGAACAGAGCACTTAAACAGATAAATGTTGGCCAATGAATGAAAACTAACAAGCCGTTAGAGCTTTCAGTAAGACGTCAGGAGAGCCCCTGGAAGAGAGAGTGGGCTACAAGTCTCAGGGGAAGGTTTCTCCCATCTCTAACCCTGTAATTTGAAGAAGACAGTAGTACAGATTCCTTCCATGTTAACTGATGGGCAGCAGCCTTATTTCTGTGCACTGTGGAGGTGCCAGTTTATGAGCTGTCAGTCTGCACATATGGAACAAAAAGGCCCTTGGCTAACACAGAAATTGAAATAAAGTGGCAGTTAGAGCAATTTCTTCCTATATGATTCTTGAACACAGAGTATAATGAAGAAACATGATGAGGGGGCCCTGTGTAAACTAGAAAAACTCTAATGAAAAACTATGAAAATCCCACAGTTCTGAAGCACTGAGAGACAGAAATCTAATCACATTGAAAGAAAATACTGCTCATAGGCCAGGCTTTGTGTTAATATAAGTCTAGAGTTAACTCTCCTTCTTCTATGCACTTAATCAGACATCTACAGAACACATCTGTTGAGCTGTGTAGCCTTCAGGCTGGGCCATGGTTCCTCGACTTTCCAGGTCTGACTTATCTATACCTCCCTGAGTTATGGAGGTCAATTTCAGGATTGTAAATCAACTAATTCTATGAAAATGAAAACTGTTGTTCACATTTTGCAATTTAAAAAAAAGTTTTTAAAAAGAGGGGATCCATAATGCAGGATAACTACTTTTTGAAAAGTCAAATGGCTGTGCTGTATGTTTTCAATTTTAAACCATCACCTTGATATGTTTAGGGGTTTAATTTATGGAACAATCAAGCAATCTTTATATTTAACATTAAGTGCCTGAATATTATAAATCATCTTAGATGAACTTTTATGGGAGAGTTTCAGTGCAACTTCTGAACAACTTGTCACTTTTATTGTATGGCAATGATTTGTAAAAAATGATATGCTAAGTAATCCTAGAGTATAATTTATGGGCACAAAAACAACTGTCAAGAAACAGCCAGAGACCACATTTAATGAAATCTTTACAGACCGAAGTAATAAGTACTAAATTAATGAACGCAGCTTAATTGAAGCTCTATTTGTAACTTTTTTTATTAGACTTGTTATTAATGAACCTTTAAATGCTACCACTAACTTGAGCTCTATGTTTAAATTTAAATAATGAACCATTGTTCACACACAAAAAAGAACAAACACTGCTTTAATAGCCCTTTGTCTCAATGGGGCTTTCACTCTTATGCATAACTAAGATACAGACATGTCCCTCCTACCTCTCAACAATTATTTACATGGTTGGCAAGATATAATCATTTAGGCTGCTAAAATAGTCTGAAAATAGCTAACATGAAATCCATAACAAAGTAAAAATGAGGTAGGAAAAGATTATACAAGAATTTTGGTTGATCTCAAAGATAATGTTTTCAAATCTGTGCTTTCAGTGCTTTTATTTATTTATTTATTTATTTTAGAGAGAGAATGGAATGATCTGTTGCCCAGGCTGGATTTGGAATCCTGGGCTCCAGCATTCCTCCCAGTTCAGCCTCCCAAGTAGCTGGGATTACAGGTGTGCACTACCGTGTCCAGTTTTTAGTACTTTTTGCTAAGCTCACACTCCTGTATGTTTAAGGAGATTCTGGTTTGGGATGGTAACGACTTACCTGAACATGTCTCCCAAGCCCTTCAGCATTCCCTTCTTGGCTTTCATTTTATCCTTCTCCTTATCTCTATCTTTCTTCTTTTCTTTTCCAGTTTTATCCTTTTTTCTATCAGTCTTATCACCTTTCTCTTGGTTTCCATTCATTTGTCTCTCCAGAGAGTGGGAAGGCTGATCACTGGCTGTGGATACAGACTCTCTCCCTGATCTTGAACTTTCTTCTGTGTCTTCTTCCACTTGGAAGGAAAGAAAAAAAAATAGGGACACAGTGAACCAACGCAACAAAAATAATAAAGCTAAAATACATTCAAGGACTTTACTTTCCCACACTTTTACTGCAGTATGGCCCTGCTAGCAACATGGACTGCAATGCTGTTTAACTTTGAGTAGAATTAAAATGGAACATGTGATGTGGATGCCTCCTACGTGAAGATCGTGTGCCAAGTCAGTAGCAGCAAAACAGCAGCTTCCTGGTGGGATGCTGATGCACCCACAGAAACACCCTCTAAGAATCAGATTGTACACTACTAGGGGGGTGCCAGCAAGACCTTGTTATACAGCGCAGACCTCTAAGGGTCCCGTGTACTATATTTGCAAGATGAAAAGAAAGAAAATAAGCAGGCCTTCCCAAAGTGCTTCCTTTCTTCTTGGGTAAGAATAATGCAGATACACTCTGGCCCCTCATTAATTTGCTGGACTACACCATTCAATGTCAGCACAAGGACTTCTTTCCTTAGGCTCCCAACATATCCTGCTCACACAGAAGAGCAGATTATTTTGGCTTATATCTACAACAGATCTGCACAGCCTCTGTAACTCTTCTTTGCATAAGGCCAACATCAGAAGTAAATGCTACTATATATTCTAATCCTAAACAATCTTGCATGCCTATCTGCATCATGGCGGCTGAACAGAGGTAGAGGGAGCCATGAAAATGAGTAAATCAATAAGTGCACTTCTCTGGACTTTGCAGATAAAAGATCTGCTTAGTGATAACAATATTCCATTCCTTGAACCAACACTTCGTAAGCACATGGTCCAAGGGCACTTCAATACCCCAAACTTTTTGCAGTTGAAAGAACGACAAGTAACTGAAGTAAGTCTCCCCCTACCAAAAGAGCTTAAACATTTCTCTATTAAATAAGAAGCAGAGAGACACGTATGAACATCCACTCTCAGAAATCTTTCTTTCGAGACTGGTCACCTAAGGTTCTCCTCCAAATACAATGAGAATTATAGGGGGCCATAAGGTTAATTACTCCGTGAATTCTTAAGTCATTTTTCTTTTTCCAGCATCAACAAAGAAAGTATAGATCATTATTTCTGAGTTTCTTATAACAAAGAGCCAAACAGAATGGTTCGGCCTCTTCCCAAACTTTTGCAAAGAACTGACCTCCAAATCAAGTTAATATATCCTCAGTAAAATTCAGTCCTTCCTCTCTACCAGCAAGGAGCACTTTCAATAGCAATACACAATTATCGTGGGTATAATAAGACCAGCTAAAAGGGTCCCAATATCTTAGATTTCTGCTATTAAACCCTCACAAATCTGAAAAGAGACTATCAAATGGTGGTATAGCTACGCCCAAGTAACACAGTTGTGTTTTTTTGTTAAAAAGCCAGCTATTTATCATAATGCAAAAAACAAAGCTCAGAATTTTTTTATTTTTTTTATTTTTTTGAGGCTGAGTCTCGCTCTGTCGCCCAGGCTGGAGTGCAGTGGTGTGATCTCGACTCACTGCAACCTCCGCCTCCTGGGTTCAAGCCATTCTCCTGCCTCAGCCTCCCGAGTAGCTGGGATTACAGGCGCCCACCACCACGCCCAGCTAATTTTTTGTATTTTTAGTAGTTTTGTATTTTTAGTAGTAGAGTTTCACTATGTTGGCCAGGCTGGTCTTGAGCTCCTGACCTCGTGATCTCCCCGCCTCGGCCTCCCAAAGTGCTGGGATTACAGGAGTGAGCCACTGCACCCAGACTTTTTTTTTTTTTTTTTTTTCTTCTTCTTGAGACGGAGTTTCACTCTGTCACCAGGCTGGAGTACAGTGGTGTGATCTTGGCTCACTGCAATCTCCACCTCCCGGGTTCATGTGATTCTCCTGCCTCAGCCCCCCAAGTAGCTGGGACTACAGGCACACGCCACCACACCCAGCTAATTTTTGTATTTTTAGTAGAGATAGGAATTCACCATGTTGGCCAGGATGGTCTCGATCTCTTGACCTCATGATCCACCAGCCTCTCCTCCCAAAGTGCTGGGATTACAGGGGTGAGTCACACCCAGCCCAAGCATATAAATGACTTCAGAAACGTTAGCCTTCCTCTGAACTGCGAGTTATCTCATTGTAAGCCATTGTCTTCCTCCAAAGGACATGGTGGCTTTTAAGAAAATTTGCTCCTTTTCCTCGCTATTAAGATATAAATAGTAATTGTGCACGTTTATTAGAAGAAGCCAGTTACAACTAGAAGGACATAGTGAAAATCCATAATCTTACAAATAATACTGAGTTCAGGCTATAATTTTTTGTGGTGTACACAGAGCAGGGAAAGAATATCCTGGCAGTTGGCCCAAGGGCTTACTAATTATGTGCAGCCTTTTCAAATGAGAGCTCCCCCAAAGAATGTAAACATAGCTCAAGCAGGGCTGTAGTGTGTTGCTTAATGCCCTTGAACATGGCTGTGTTCTATCTGCTTGTGAACCAGTACTTCAGGTTTTTGAGATATGGGTGTGGCCACAAATGTGAGATAATTGACCAAATAATTACAGAACAATTCCCAGAAGTTCTCTGGAGCTATAAAAACCTAGGTCTATTGGTATACTCAAACTAGATAAATGGAAGCTAGTGAATTTTGTATAATTCCTGCATGGAAACCTCCTTTCACCTATACTTCCAAAGCTCTTTATTTGTACAATCTTTTATTATTGCACTTCTCATATGATATCACATACATGTCTCCCTCCCATTCTCTAAGCTCCTCAAATGAAGACTGTGGGGCAAACAGCAGCTGCTCATAAATGGCTGCATAAATGAAAGACTTTTGGTAAAAACTGACTTGTGACTTTATCCTGACCAAAACTTTATCTAATCGCCAGGTATCACCATTCCTCTAGCTTTAGAAAAATGCTTACTGTTCTCTCATCAAGCCTGACAAGACTAGCCACAATCTGACTACAGTAACACTAGGTAGGAATGCTCATGATATTTGGTTTAGCTCTAATTAGTTTCTGGTATATTTTCATGCTATTATTGTTAGTGCTGTATGCATCATTTAATAGATTTTACGACCCTCTACAATGTCTGAAACTATAAACAGAAAAATGAGCTCAATAAATGTAAATGATTTAGTCTTCCACAGCAACCATTATCATAAATCATGAATGGAACTATCAGTAGCGATTCTGTTAGTTTTCTGCCTAATAGTTTTGGCAGAAGTTCAAGGGGCATATGTCGGCTCTTGGCTTGGGAACAGAATAATGGCAGTGCCTTCACAACTCACTATATGCTGAAGTCACGTTTGTTGCCAATTCTTTTCATATTCAAAATAATTTTCTGGTGTATGTAACACAACTTATTTTCTAAAGTATGTGAAATAAAGTAGTATGAAATCAATTATTAGCTTCAGGTTTTGTAACCTCATTTTATAAAATTAAAAGTCCTACCTCTGTTTCCTGCCCCAAGCCAGTGGACTGTTTAAAATGACACTTGCACATTGGAGGATTCTTTATGCTTGTTCTGAACATTCTAAATTAGATAATACATTATCACAGAAACTCTTCTGGGGGTGTACTGATTTAACTAATCCCTTTGAATGCCAACTAATTAAAAATATTTAGCAATATGTAGCTTCATATGTACAAACATAAGATGTTCTTTTAAAGTACTGAATTATATATACTTCAAATTCTGAAATTATTTGATAGAGAAAAATCTTTATCCTGCTCCTATGCAGAAATATTGTAGTTTCAAAAGCTCAAATAAATTGGTTACACATGCTTAATTTTTGAAAAAAATATACATATTCAAAGTCACTGATGTACTAGTCAGATTTTAGGTTTTAAAATAAATCTGTACATTTAATACTAGCTTTATAATTAGGTACATAAAATATCTTTATTCCCTTAAACGAACATGCATATAAACAATTTTTCAAGTAAGAAAAGTACTAGTAATATATCAGCAATAAATGGCTTGATCTATTGTGTTCATACAGCAAATTACAAGGTAAGAACTAATCATAAATTTACATTTAGATAATGTACTATTTTAAGTGCTATATACATTTCTTGATTTTTTTCTCTTTAATTTTGCTCATTTTGACAGACTATTTGCTTTCCTTTTGCAGATACCCTACACAAAGAGCGATGATTATCTCCTTCCAAACAAATAGAAATTTCCATTTTTGACAACATTTCTGCCTGTTTAAACCTGCTCTATGCACTGAACTATCAGCTATGTTTCCATGTGATTACCTATAAAGATAGGCACTTTCAAGTTTCTTTTTTTAAAGAAGGTGTAGCATGAAGCTGCTTATTTCTCTTTAATGTGGCAGAGTCATTCTGCAATTAAGACATACCTAATTACCATGTTTTCAACAGATGCAAATGGAGCTCAATTAAAATTCTAGTCCATGTTACAAATTAAGGCACTCAACTCTGAAAGGTATCATGTTAGGACTGGATCACCAACAAGTTTGGAAAAGATCGGGCATTTACGTGTTAATGATGATGGAGAAAATGACTTTGGGTTTTCATTGAAGTGCAAAGTTCTGCAGCTACTGCCATAAATAATCTATTTCTATCTAAACTTTACAAACATTTTACAGTCAAGGTTGACTCAAAGCCTCAAGGTCATTAGAGTCTATTTCCCCCCCCCATTGAGAAGTGATGCTACTGTTGATACTATAATTTCTGTTGGCCGCTTATCCAAAATCCATTTCTCCCTTTATTCTTCCTAATAGAACTCTGTGTCCAGGAATGCAACCTAGCTCCAAGGGGTGAATTCATTATTAAGTTTATGGATGCCATACCCCTGCAGACTTGCCAGTCCAAGGTTATCAGACCAAGAATGGCCCCGTTGGACTCAATGGACATATCCATGCTTAGGGAGAGGGCTCATTCCCTTCTGTTAGACAGCAATAAGACAGTAAAAGGCCTCTGAGCCCTAAAATTACCCTATGGATAGCTGAATTATGGAATTATTTTGTGGGTAGCTGACTCATGGATAGCAGAGCAGAAGGGGCAGAAAAATGTTGGGTCTTTGGAGAAATCTCTCTGAAGAACTCTAGAACTCAAGTTATGTAGGAAAATGTATTTCCTTATTGTTTGAGTTGGTCTGAGTTGCACTTTCTATTACATATAGCTGAAAGCATCCTAAAAGGTACACTGCATAAAGCAAGTGTTAGAGCAACTGTGGAATATCTATTGTGTTATTTGTCTTAAGTGTATAATTTAGCAGTAAATATCATTTTAGGTAGCTTTGGCAATTTTACTAGATTTAAATAATTTGTTTAGATTTGCTACTAGATTAAAATGAATTGTTCAATGGGTATAAATAGAGATATACAAAACGAAAATATCATAGTATTACTTTGTATTTAAAACTCAACAATACTCTCCTCTGAGGGAGAGGCCCCAAGAAGCATCATTAAATACTCACTGAGCAATTAAATGAAGGACTGAATAAGCAGCCAACAATATGAAGAACTGCCCTTTGTTGCACCCATTTAACTATGAACTACCTTAGAATTAGGAATACTTAGTAATAGGAACACAGATACTTGAGCAATTTACAATTTATATTGAAAGATAAAGGATGAAATGTAAAAATTCTACACAGGGTGACTCAGTCTTCACAAGCTATATTCTTAAAACAAAACTTTTAAGTTAAAATGAGACATTCAAAATAGAAAATTTCACTGGATTTAGTAAATCCACTGACCACTACCAATTTCTGTTAGTGTTAGGTAAAAAGATAATACAACTAAATGAGGACTGGACTTTCAGTCGCTGCAAACTCCTGCATAGGAATCAAGAACGCTGGGGACATAAATATTGTTTTTATTTCTTATTTTGGTGGAACACTTTGACTTTGGAAGAGAAAGAAAGATGTAGGAAATGAACAGCTAGTGATACACAGATGGTGTCGAATAACATGATCTGCTCTTCTGGACTCTGACTTTTAACATTAGAATGATGAGCTCTTGGCAACAGAAAAACTTAGCTTTTCCTGAAAACCAAAAAAAGGAAACCACACACACACAAAGCTGGCATGAAACAGGAAGACTTTAGAGCTTTTAGACTAATACATGGGGTGAGAATAATAACTGATATGATGAAGACTGTGAGGAGGTAAAAAAGCTATGAAGGAATCAGGTGACATTTATTAGTGGTATTGTAGAGTGGTTTCAGCAACTGGGAGAAAGTTCAAATAGATGACTCCTCAGACACTCTACTCTAAAAATAGCTCTATTTCATTTTTAAAAAACCTTTCAATATATGTGGGTGAAGGAAGAAAAACAATAGGATCACTCTTTTAAAGAGTTATTACCAAAAACCTTTCTTCACTTTTACTTGACATTCTAAACTTCTCTTTAACCCATCCCCCTCAAATGAAGCAGGTAAAATGCTCCCACAGATAATGGTAGAATGTCACCTCCATTATCCCTCCCTTCCCTAGACAATGTTGCAGAGCAGGCACAATGAGGGTCACACCCTCAATTTTCTGAACCTTCGCAAATTCGCTTTTAGTGTCCAACTGATTTTAACATTCAAATGACGGCCCACAGTGGATGCTGTTTTCTGTCCATGGGGACAATTTAAAATGAAGCTGAAGGCTTTTTAAAAACCAATTCTGACCGAAAGGGCTGGCTACACAATCGAAATGACAGCATTCCTAACCCTACAGTTGGAATTGCCACTGAGAATTTTATTTTAATCAAGGAGTGAGCTTAACGTACACAACGTCTGTTTGAACAACATACAAACTATTATTTATGGTCAAAGAAAGAGATTTCAGGCCACTGCTCAGACTCTTTTGAGTGAAACACAAAAATTAACAGCATAAAAATGTTTAGAGATTATAAAATAGTGAATGGCTAGCAATGCTTTACTTTGCTTTTGTGTGTGTGAGGAATCAGAATGCCTGCTTCCCAAAAGCGAATGTTCTTACCTACCATGAAACATAATCTATATTGAGTGATCCGCAAAAATTTCCTGATGTTAAAAAAATAATTTATACTAAAAAGTCTCGGATGCACTGTGTAGAATCAGCTGGAGCTTAAGAAAAACTAGATTGTCGGGGGAAAAGTTTCTTGGAGAAGGAAGATGACAGTATAATATACACACATTAGAGGGCTGGGGAAGAAAGAAGATACACCTCACGAAGTGTGCACCGCATGGCACAGGCAAGGGTAAGCACGGACACTTGAGGGGCTGTGAGAGTCAGAAGGTGACTGCAGAGCTCACTGGGCACATCTAGAGACAGGAGGCCCAGTTGGGAGACACTAGCAATACCTTCTGATATTAAATAACGAGGGTCCGGCCTAGACTGCAAGTAAGGGGTGAGATTAGATTACATGTGGAAAGATTAAGAAAGCTTGGTAATGGAGTGGTGACACAGTGAGATGATGATTCCAAGTTTCTGAGCCTGGAAGTGCTAATGAGAGAAATCACATCATCATCATCATCCATCTTTGTGTGAGAGACGCTAAGCCCGTAAACAGTTTCTTCCTTTGCTCTGGTACTGCCAAGCATCATCGCTCACCTGGATGATTGTACTACTATCACAGAAATTAGCTCCTTGCCCTGACGTTACTACTTATCATCCCATCTCAATAAGCCACCCTCTACCCCAGAGTCCCATCATATTATTTTATTTGAAATGCAAGTAATTTAAAATAGTCTGTGGTTTGCTGTCTACATCTTTTTTTTTGAGATGGAGTTTTGCTTTGTCGCCCAAGCTGGAGTGTAGTGGCGTGATCTTGGCTCACTGCAACCTCCGCCTCCCGGGTTCAAGCAATTCTCATGCCTCAGCCTCCGAAGTAGTTGAGATTACAGGCATGCAGCACCACGCCTGGCTAATCTTTGTATTTTTAGTAGAGATGGGGTCTCGCCATGTTGGCCAGGCTGGTCTCGAACTCCTGATCTCAAGTGATCCACCTGCCTCAGCCACCCAAAGTGCTGGGATGACAGGCACCTACATCTTAAACCTCACTCCTCACTATGCTCTCACCTGCCCCATACACACCAACCTAACAGAACTACTGCAGCCCAGAGATGGCTCCCCATTCCCTATGTTCCATATTTCTCTGTGCATCCAGTTGAAGACTCTCAAGCAGTAACACTCAACTCGGCCAATACCTCTCTTCTGGAAATCTCCTCCTCTACTTTCCTCTCCTCCCTAATTCCACATCAGCTGGGCACCCCTACACCACCACCCCCTCCCCAGTGTCACACTAACTTACACACTACAATGGAACTGAACCACACTCCTTATCAAGTGCTCATTTATCCACTGGGTTGAATCATCCCCCAACCCCGAGCCCTTAGGAACTAATAGCCTAAATATCAGACTTTAGGTACACACTCTGCAGTAGTTTTAGCGCAATGGGCTTTCTGTTTGGAAGTGTGTTTCATATTCTAGAAAAACCACAGGACTGAGAATTAGAAGATACGCATTCTAAGATTCAGTTCCTAAGTGTAATCTTAGTCAAATATATAGATACTATTTCCTCTTAAAAAATGGGGCCTGGTGCGGTGGCTCACTCCTGTAATCCCAGCACTTTGGGAGGCCAAGGTGGGCAGATCACGAGGTCAGGAGTTCAAGACCAGCCTGGCCAACATGGTGAAACCCCGTCTCTACTAAAAATACAAAAATCACTTGGGCATGGTGGCACATTCCTGTAATTCCAGTTACTTGGGAGGCTGAGGTAGGAGAATTGCGTGAACCAGGACCTGGGAGTTGGAGGTTGCAATGAGCCAAGATTGTGCCACTGCACTCCAGCCTGGGCTACAGAGTGACACTCTTTCTAAAAAAAAAAAAAAAAAAAAGTTAGAAATGAGGATTCTATCATTCAAAACACTTCAGATGTCAATATTCATTGCACTTTCTGCTAAGTTACATTTTACCTAGAAAAAGAAATGCAGAGAATACCTTTGGTTATTTCACAACCATACACCCATACTATGATCAGAAACCTCCTAAAAATTAATCGAAGCTCCCTTTCTTAAACTGCAGGTTAAGTATATGTATCATTTTATTTGCATAAAATGATGTGATAGGTTATTCTTCTTCTTAGCATTTCAGAACAAGTATTTTTATAGATCAACATCCAATTATCCACTAAAATGGATTAACCAAATAGGAAACAGTTTACAAAGTACTCTGACTTTGAAATCTGATCCCAAATTCTTCCACAATAGATTTACTGTAATCCACTGTGTTTTGCTTATGATAAAATTATACTTAGTTTGCATTATTTTTGCTGAAATAGGTGGTGATGAAAGGTGGCTAGAAGTGGGTAGAATACTGAGAGTAGAAAATGAGATATCAAAGGCAATATGTTATTTCATAGCTAATAAAACAATAACAAAATTCCCCTAGAAGCTCTCATATTAGTTGATTTAATAATGTAAATTCAGTTTCTTCAAATTTCATACTGAAAACCTAAATTATGTGTATTCTGGAGCAGTGCTTTTCTCCTATCTCTTAATAAGAGCTCTATAGGAAATTATGCAAGCTACCTACTTCATGTTTGAAGACAATGCCTTCATGTTTGCAAGGCACAAAGTTTGTCACATTTAAAATTCTGAACTTGATATATCTTAAAATCAATAGGTATAATTAATAGGAGATATTTAGTTTTGCTGTTTCACTTCCTCAACCTTAACAAAAAGCTGTTACAAAACTGAGTGCAGGGCTTACAATTTCTGGCAACTTTTAATTACGAAAAAGTAGAATTAATGTATTTTTTAAAAGAAAACAAAGCAATCTTACTGCATGCATTTTCTTGGTAGCAATAGAAACTGATTTATCATGGGGAGGAGAAGTCGCTTGCTGAGAGCCAGGCTGGGCATGTAATTTGCATAGAAGAGGGAGCAGATTGTCAATGCCCTGACCTGTCAAACACAGGTAGGGCCTCGGAGATAATGGGTCCCAGAATACAAAGCTCCATCTTGATCCAGACAGACGCACACAACATGGAGAGGCCAGATGGATTAAATGAGACACAAAAATGCTGGCTTCTGCCATCTCCACAGGAAGAATGTAAGTGCTGCAGAAGATGACAGATACCAGATACCACATGGATCCCACCCCAGTCTCTTGGCCCCATTGCTGTGCCCATGCCATGATTTCCACACTGCTGAGAAGAGGCCAGCCTGTTCAGTGCCATGAATATAGTCACTGGGGAGGGGCTCGACCCAACTGACAAAAGCAATCAACCATGCCTACGCCTATGTGTCTTACTTGTAAAGAGGAAAAGTGCCACATGATGATAGAAATCAGAGCCTGCAGCACGGTGCAAGGAGCTCTCTGTTCCTGCTGACCTCCATAACTAGCTTTTCCACAATGGCTCAGTCTCTAGCCACGCATTTCCAGGGTGCACTGCATCCTCAGGAAATGTCCCATGTGACAAAAAGACCATCTGCCTAGACGAGGGTCCTCTTTTCAGATCCAGGTTCAAGGGGGATGTGGCTTTTTAATTTCTACGGGCAGCTGTAACTGAGTTGGACCATCGGGACAAGAAAGAACCCACTTCCCCTGAGGCCCACTTAGCACAGACAATAGAAGATGTTGGACATGCAGCCAGGGGACACATAGCTAAGGGACAAGCCCAGAAGGGCAAAAATGCAGGAGCATAGCCACAGAGACAGCAAGTCCAGAGACTCCGCTGTGCAGGTCCACAAGCCAGACGCTGAAAATGGTGTGGTTAGGAAGCCGAAGGAGGGCTAACTGAGCCAGCCTTCTTTCCAAAGCTGGAGGCAGAAAGTGCCTTCGCGTCTTCAGTTTTATGTAAGCTGACAGCCACCAGCAGTAACACCACATTTGATAGACAATTTTTTTTTAAACAAAAACAAAGAGTTTGCTGAAGTATTGAAGATCTAGTGCATACAAGGTCCAGTGTGGGATACCTCACTCACCCACTCATCGATTTGGCAGACATTTATTTAATTCTATGATTTGCCAAGCTTTGTGTTTGGTAATGCAAGATGGAAATAGATGGGGTGTTTTCCACATGGGCCTCGCAAAAGGTGAGGGGGTTAGCGTGCCAGAAGTAGGGCAGTGAGGGGGTACATAGAATCATGGAATGTTAAACTAGGAAGGACTTCGGAAACCATCTAAACCATCTAAGCCAGAACTTTTACAACTTTTTCCTAAATACTCAAAAACACCCTTTTTAAAAACTAAAATTTACAAAGGATCCCCATGTACAGAAGTGAGTAAAACAACTGTGAAGGTGGTGGTGGGGGGAAGGTGACACTGGTGGCCTTTCCCACTCTCCAAACCCATTGAGGTACTGCTCCTGACCAGAGATCACAACACACCAGTTGAAAGTCAATTATCTAGTCCAAATCTTCAGTTTTACAAATGAAGAAATTAAAGCTCAAGCAGTTGAAGTTTTGACTAAAATCCCAAATTACTTAGAAGAATGTAGAGGAGGATGCAAGTCACCTGAATTCCACTTCTGTGTTCATTCCACCCTATAAACACGATTTCAACAACCAAAATTGGAAAAGTTTGGAATTTACAATAGTTGCCATTCATTTGCCATATGCAAAGTTCAGAAGACTGGTATGCAAAAAATAATAAAAACAGGACTTTTGAAAAATACAACATTTGGTGGTTGTAGGTGCAGCGTGTTTTAGGGCACCTGCCACACGTGTATTTCCCAGGTCTTGTCCAGAACTTTATCTTTGGTTTGCAAATTGTAATTTGCCTATCCATGTGTTTCATTTCACTTTTTTTCTCTGAAGGACAGATACATGAATGAACTTTAATATACTGTTATTTCTCATTTTGTTTTTTAAAAAATAAGTTTATATAGGGACAAAATCAGATGTCCATGTTGGTGGGACACTCTGGAGGCTATCCCTACAGAATTAAAAATATACCTTATATTCATATGTATTCTATCTCCTGTTACATTTGAAATGAGTGAAATATTATAAGAGCAAACTGCATTTTTTAAGGAAAATTAAATAACATTTTAACCAGAACAAGAAAAAAGTTCAAAAGCATCATTATAGATACTTAAAAAATATATATCAAGGGGCCAAAGCATAGTAATTTTTGATTAAATATACACCCAAGACAGAGAGAAGCAAGCTCTATAATTGTCAAGTAATATTGATTAGGATGGCAAGGAACCATTATTACAAAGAGAAAAAACTCAATAGGGTCGAAAGCTTATATGACTCAGGATCTTGGAGACCAGGTTTGGCAGCAAAAATAGTAAATATGCTCCTCATCCTGCAAGAATGGGCTGCATATATTCACAGCCGGGAGGAAGAGGTGGGCCTGGAGAGGACACCAGGAGGCTGCAACTGGGTCTGGAGAGGCTGACCTAAGGAAGTTCTGGGCCTGGAGAGGCCGCCAAAAGGGAAAAACTGGGCCTGGAAAGGCCCAGTTGTGAGGAATCTGATCATAGTGACAAAACTGCCTGGATTTAGATGGAGAATCAGGTGGAGGTGGAGAGAAGTGTAGCAATCCTCTAAGTTATGCTTCGCATATTACATTATGACAGAAATATTCATCTTCCCAAACGCATTATATGTATAAGCATTATACGTATAAGCAATGTATATTAACGTATATATACATATACATTATATGTATATGTATATATTCTCAAAATGTGATCTTTATTACTTAAAACTCTTCTTCCCACGAAAGTCTTTCTTAGGTATATGTGATAGAAGTGGTCCACTCAAATGTTGAATTGCAAGTAATTTACAATCTACACAAATTATCTCTGGTCTCTGCCTTAGTTTTATTCTGTGGTCCCTCCAACTATTCGTACAATAGTTTGATGGTTGAGTCACATTTGAGGTTAAAACACTAAAAGGTAAATTAGTAGTTATGAGCAATATAAGATAATCAACAATTTTCACTATTAGGACTCCTAAGCCCTTTTGCTTCTTAGTAAATATATCGGTAGAGTTTTTCCATTACTTTTTAATAGAATGTTTACTTTAATATAAGAAATGTTTAACTCTCTGGAAGGATATATTTGTACCTATCTATAAATTATTTTTTATTCAATAAACCATGGAAAACATTCATATTAACCTTTGACTTTTAATAATCTTGGCTTTAAATATTTTGCAATTTCAAAATAAACACACATAAATATAGCTTGCTAGTTTAGTTATAGGAAAGAATGAGTAATTCCTGAAAGCAAAAAAAGAAAAAAAAAATGTTTTTAAGATCACAGATTATTACAGGTACTCAATGGAGACATCCTATTTGAGACACTACAAAGTAGTGGTTTTCAAATATTTTGATCTCAGGATGACTTCACACCCCTGAAAATTATTAAGCACTCCAAATAACTTTTTTATATGTGGATTATATCTAGCAACATGTACTGAATTAAAACTGGGAAAGTTTTAAAATATTACTTTTTAAAAACAAGCAACTTCGTGTTAACAGAAATTACATTTTTTACCAAAAAATATATATATTCCAAAAGAAGTGAGAACAATGGCACTGTTAAATATTTTTTCAGAATTTTTAGTTTAATATTGGCCTGTAAGACAGATTCTCATATCTGCTTCTGCATTCAATCTAATGCAGTATCACAGGACATGTGGCCTCCAAAAAACCCCAGTGTATACTTATAAGAGAATGTGAGTAAAGGGCAAATAATATCGTCTTATTATGAAATAAGAGATTATTAGACCTCAGAGATCTCAGAGATTACCCTGAAGAATCTTAGAAAACTCCAGGGCTCCCTGGAGCTCACTTTAAGAAATAGAGTCTAATTTTAATTATTATTCTTTCAGCCATTATAAACTTACAGGTCTCCATGCCTTCATCATCATCATCTACCGCGGGTTTATCATAAGATTTGTCGATGGCAGCTCTGAAGCTCTCATTGCATCCCCTGCCTCTGATTATCCGCGGCCGTGGACGATGGAAAGGAATATCCCCATTCAAAGTCACCTCGGCAACTGCGGTCTGCAGACTCTCCAACGAGCTTGACTTCTTCAGACCCAGGGAAGGACCCACATCTCTGCTGGGAGAACCTGGGAGGTTTACAAGAAAAAAAATGTTAGTGTGAATTAGTGAAAATTATGTACCTGAATATGCACTGTCGAAAACTTCAGGTACATAACAATTATTTGCTCAATGATGAGTTCTGGAATGCAGATGGAAAAGACAAAGAATAAATGAAGTAATAGTTGCTAATTTTTATTTTTCCCAAACTTATATTAGATTTGGTCTATTTTCTCTCTTTGCATTAGGAAAAACTCTAAGTCATTACTTTTTAAAAAAAATTTCAACAGATGAAATTGTTGTCAAATCGTTTTGCTCCGGTAATAGGAATAATCTAAAAGAACCAGAATAACCTGGAAGCTCATTTGAAAAGCAAGGGAAGATGAGGAGAAGGCTAAGGTCAACAACCAAGAATAAGCTTTGCACTTAATTAAAACCTTTTTTTTTTTGGCAATTTAAAATTCTTTAGAACAGAAGCTAGACATGCACATCAATGTGCATTGTCAAGTCTCTTCCTTGCTAAACTGCAGACCCACAACACTGCATAAGGAGTAAGACCACGGGGGCCAACATGTCACCAAAACAGTTAGGGCAACCTGGCAGCAGGCAGAAACCCAACCCTGGGAAATATGGATATTCTATAGGAAGAGTAACACAAGCTTTGAACGGAAACAGATTACATAAGGGCTCTCTCTCAGAGGGAAATAAAAAAGGAGAGACTGGATATGAGTACTTCTATCTCTAGGCCTGGGAACAATATGTTTGAAAAACAGGTGATGGACAGAAGAAAGACGACTTAGCAATTAACCAGAACATTTCATGAGGATGACAGGGACAAATTCCGGGAATTAAAAATTTGGCTCTATTTCCTGAGGATCTAGGGCAGAAGGACCCAAGATAATACCAATAGTACCAAGTTGTGGAAGGCAATCAAAACTGATTTCTTTAACCAGGTAAGACAGCCTCATCCATCACTGCCTGACCTGATACTCAAAGGTAGACTAATTTAGCTTCCGGATGACTGAAATACCAGCTCTGCACCACCACCTGGGCAATCCAGGTTATAGAACTGGTTCTTCATATATACAGTTAAAAAGACAGGTGAAAAAAATAGAGGGTAGGAGAAACAAAATAGTTTATCTCTGCATGGGGTCATCAGCCCATATGTTGATCATGTTATTACCCAGAAGACAAATAGTTGTGACATAGGCTTTTCACAGCTCAGAAAATAAAATAGAATTAAAATTACACTGAAAGACTCAAAACAAAATTTAATTTTTTAAGATTCACTGATGTTAAATGAAGCTATTTTGGGTAAGAATAGATATGTTTAAAATGTAGTACAAACAGGAAGGCAAACACATGATTCTAATGAAGAAATAATATTCCACAAATTGTTGTGCTGGAAAGAAAAAGATGTCATATTTAGCTTTCTCAGTGCAGGTTTGTCTATATTTCTTTATTTTATGACAAAAGTTCATGAGATTTATTTCTTTGAATGAGATCCATCTTACTTTTTCTCTGGGCAGCACTACAATTTTTGACAACTGCATTTTCTAAATTACTCATAAAAGTCATGTCATGGGAAGAAAAATGAATTTTGTTCCAAAAACCTACATAATAAGAAATGAAGGAATAAAAAAGAATGGGAAAAGATCATTCCTGGGCAGGGATATTTACCTTTATAGTTCCTAGAATTAGCACTGGAAAGATCCTTTTGTGAATAAATGTCTATCAACTTTCATAATTTACCAGCTATATTTGGCTTCCATACACATGTATTGGGCAAATATTTGGTGCTTTCTTGAGTTTATTAAGGATATGTGTATGTGTGTATGTATTTGTATGTGAGTATATATCATGAATAAAGATTTCATGCTTCCAGAAAAAATTCTCATAAAAACACCATTTATATAAAGCTTTTCTTTGTGTAAAGTTAGCTGAGATTTTACTTAGTGTACTGACAGCAATAAAAACTTAAATAATAAATTTCAGAAATGGCATGAGTATTCATTGAAATTGAGTGTCCCTAAGCATAAACACAGGCAAACTTGGAAAGAAAAACAATGGTCAAAGTATAATTCGATAAACGATAATTTTGTAAGTGCAATTCAGAGCATACCTACCTATTTGTTTCCCTAAATTCATAACACTCTGAAATAACCTTTTGGCAAACTGTTGACCATTGTGGATGGTGGGCCCTGGGTTTGTGGAAGGTCAATGAACTACTCTCTGTATATTTATGTATAGATGAAAACTTTTACAATAAAAAATTATACAAAATGTCAATTATCTACAACTTCTGAACCTGTAACACAGATCAGCAAACTGTGAGTCAAATGTGGAAAATTTTACTGGAACACAGCCATGCCCATGTATTTACATATTGTCTATGACTACTTTCATTCAACAATGGTAGAATGTAAAAGTTGCAACAGAGATCTAAAATATTTACCATCTGTTCCTTTACAGAAAAAGCTTGCTAACATTCGATTTATAATATGAGTAACATACACTTTAGTACTATATTTGACCAAGAAACTATAACAAAGGTTTTGAATGATATGTTAGGATTTCTCAGCGAAGTTATTAAAATCCCTAACACATTGATTCAGTCAAATGTCTTTAGAAAAAAAATTAAAAGGATTCCCTAACAATACAAACAGCATTTTACTAGTAATGAAAATTGAAAAAGTCTTTTTGTACATAAAATATATGGAAAAGATTTTATTTACATCATAAAAGTTAGTATCTTTTGTCTTAATTTTAAAACAATATTTTAAGCTCTTACTTTACACATATCTTTTAGGTCATTAGCATACTTTGCTAATCTCTATACTTCAAGAATGAAACCATTAGAAATCCAATTCTCTTCTTATACCTGTTCTCCCTTGTTATAATTTGAGGAGAAATATTTATCCCCAAAATATGATACAAGATTCCTAAATATGGAAAAAAAAAGAGGGAAATCATAATCATACTATTTTCCTAGATCTGTTTCCTATTCCTACTTAGTAATATCCCTCTTGCCAAAAAAAAAAAAAAAAAAGAAAGGAAAGGATGTCTTTTGCAAGGGGCAGAGGGAAATGTAATTCAATTTTCATTATGAAAGGCTTATGGCTAGGCTAGACAGATGTTCAATGCTAAAATGCCACTATGATTCTCCCAAAAACCTTTGGACTAATCTATAAAATCATAATCTTTCTTGAAAACTCAAGTCAAGTGAAGTGACGAAAGAAAAATAAGTGAAAATCTTTTCACTGTCTAATATTAGGGGACAGGGAAATAATAAAATATCTACTTTAGGTATTTTATTCATTTAGATGTAAAATCAACAGACCAAGTATTTTGACATCTTTGTAATAATTTTTTGCCCCAATATTTTCTAATTTAATTTGGTAGAATAGACTGCACAAAGTGCAAAAAAAAAAAAAAAAGTTCTTTTTCTCTAGAATCTAGCACAGTTTGATTTTTGATTAGACTATAAAATCTGCCTTGAAACTTATGTAATGACTTTCCATGAAAGTTATCTAACGCACTGAGTTATAACTTGGATATCATTATGTTGTAGATCACAATAAACTGTCCTTTTCCTTATAGTAGCTGTGAGTTGGTTAAATTAAGTATTTTTCTTATTTTACCTAACTGACATTGTATATGAAGTCAGGTCCTTTACCTGAGCAGCTCAATTTGGTTTTTATGACTGTTTACTTGGATCGGGGTTATTGCTTATACTGCTAACTGTAAAAACTAACTACTATTTTACATATGTGAACTATCACATAACATTTCTCTTTAGCTCTGCTTCAATAAACTTTAGGTTTCATAAGAACAACAAACAACTCAGTAAGGGATAAGGCTACGGTTAACTGCCGTGCAATACAGTTAATCTTATGATTTATTAGATGTCGTTTTTACAATCTATCTTATACTCCAAAGAATATAACTCCAACCATGTTTACAATAATTTTTACATATATATATGTGGGATACACATTTTTTAAGCAGCTAAAACTAATTTACTACTGCAAGTTAAAAAGGCAAATTGAAGCTAATTAGTGCTAAGTAGTGTAACTACATCATACTGGATACAGATTAAAACACTATTCCAAACTTATAATAAGTCATAAATGGTCAATTATACAAAGCACGTTAACTACACTTAAAAGACCTTCCTGTGATTACTGTCATACAATAACATAAAAAGCAAAATCGATGACTATAATGCAATCCCAGTTCAATATAATCCATTGTTTCTATGGAATGATTTGGCAGTATTTTAGAAGTAACGAATTTAGAACAAGCTCACAAAGTTAAGATATGAAGCCATATGCATTATATAGTCTAATCCAACGTCAGGTTAATTATAAGCTAATTCCAGCATCAAAAAAAGAATATGCCTTTCTGAATGACTAATGATAGCAATACCGGACGTTGTCCTACAATGAAAAACATTTATATTGGCACTATTATCTTTCAAATCAAAATCACCACTCTGAGAATCACTTTTTGGATGTTAACCTAGACATCACATAGCTGACTTAAAAACCTAGGACTCTACCATAACAGATCACGTTTGCAGGATTTTGATTTTTTAAAAATTGGGATAAAACATCCTTACATGAATATAATTAAGAAAATCTAGGTTGTTTCTAGCCTTTTTGAAGCAGTAAATCATATTACTATTTAGTAAGTACACCACTGATAAATTTCTACTAACAGAAAATATTTCTTTTCTTATGTAATTCAATTTCTCACAATGAAAACATCTGCGTAAGACTGGAATATGTATGTTTACATGGCATATGATTGGCAGCTCTATAATTGTGATAAGCTATGTGGGCCATCGTTTCTATGGCAACAGTCTAACTGTCCATTCTTACCTGCTTTCTGGTCATCCACTGTATTGAGTTTAGTCTCGTCAGCTACTGTTAAAAGGTAAATGTATAATAGTTAGCCCAGTTAGTTCCCATAGCCCACCATGCTTCCACCATTCCCAGATCTTTTTAGTTAGGTGACGATCCTCAGCTAATATTTCATGCAAATACTATGAAACATCAAGCAAACATTCATAATCAAAAAAGGAGGAAAAAAAAGCAGTGTCTCCATGCAATATGCCAGTCATTTCATTTCACAGACATGTGTGTTATATGTTAGCATATCATAATTAGCCAAGGCAATGCATCACCAAATTTTTCTTTATGCGTATGATAAATTAATGCTTTTAGTCTTGGAATACAAACAGCCACCAGAGAACAGCATAAGTTACAGTTGATTAACAAAGGTTTTAAATCATTCAGTGTATAAATATAATTAATTATTTTACTTTTTTTTTGGTGGATTTGGATTTAAAGAGACACTACCTGATTGGTGTTTGAACAACTATGATTATTTTCCTCCTCTCATTTGCTCCTAAATACTTTCTATAATAAATACTCTCAAATTATTACTTTGATTAAATGCCTTAATTATCAAAATATGAAAGCTTCCAATAAATAAACCTTAAAGAACAGCAATGAAAGGAAGACATCATGAAGTAACCAAATTCTAGACATGGATTGAGATAATGGTTTCTCTCCAAAATTTTCTCTTCTAGTTCAAAAATCCCACAACCAACCAAATACAATTTCAATGAAATTGGTTTTAAATAGCCAAAGTGTTAAAACATTTCATTTTGTAAAATAAAGATACATGGACATAGCATGATATGCATATGTGTTTGTTTCCATTCTCTTAAGAAAACATATATATTAACATATTGCATATTATGTAAACATGCCACTTATGAGTAATATCGTTATCTCAAACTGGGAGAAAAACTAATTTTTGCCAAATTGCCACATTTCACATTTATTTTCTCTATTGCTCAAAGTAAACAGACATCTGCTTGGGACCATCAATTTTATCCTGAAAGCATTTAAAACTTATTTAGATAAAGATTCATGGAGATTGTACTCACTACCTAAATCCATGCTTTTTGATTTTCGTGTTTTAACGAAATCCAATTGACTGGCATCTGAAAATTGCTTTGTGCGTTTTTCTGACATACTCTGACGTCCAAATCCTTCTCGTTGAAAAGCAAGAACTGGATCAACATCTGGACTCAAAGAGCTGGAGTGAAGAAAAAATAAAAATAAAAATATTTACTAAAAATAGCACGCATCCATTTTAGGGAGGTTCATACATACCTGCAAGTGTAAATATACATATGTATATTCCTCAAGAAAAATTCAACTAAATAATACAAATACAGTCCATTAAAAAAAAAACTGTGGCTGTATAGAAAGTGATAGAAAAATACAAAATTAATTTAACTTTTAGAGTAACTCTTTCTCCATGTGAATTTTCTCCTTCTCTACTTTCCTCTCTGTTTCTTCACTCTATTTGACAATACAGAATTATTTCAAGATGATCATAAAAAATGAGCCTGATATTAGAACAACTGAATTTTTCAGGAAACCTGTCATATATTATATACAAACACTAGCAGCGAACAAGTGACCATATAAATTGTAACTAAATAGAAGTTTCAAAAAGAGTACATTCTAGCCTTCTTATGTATCTTTTATGTTGTGTTTTAAGGAAAGAAAAAAAATGCCATTATGGCATGCCATTTCATAAGGCTGCAGTTTCTCTGAAATATTAAAACAAAGAAATCAATTCAACAAACATTTATTAGAACCTATTCTGATTAAGGCATTGTGCCAGGTACGTAGATCCAAATAACAGATAAGAAAGATTCCCTGTACTCTATGAGCTCATAAGAAAAATACTAAACCAGAAGTCTGAAACAGATGCTGAGGATGCATAGATGAGTGAATAAACAGTATATGAGAATCAGGAAGAAAATGACTAAGTTTAGATGACATTTGATTTGGGTGACACCAACACAGTGGCTCAAGCGGGCATGATAAGGAAGCATATGGCAAATCCCTGGTAACAGGATGCCTTCTGAAGTGTTCCTCCAACGCAAGTGGTTGAAGATGTCCCAGAATCACTCCTGTTTGTAAAAATCTGTGAACACATTCTAAAGTGCTATAAGGTGTTCTAGCCACAGTTCATAATATGAAAAGGGTTTTCTCTGTGCTGGGCACATTGGGTAAGTAAGTATACTAGCTCTACTATATCAGGTCCGGCCACCTTGCCTATCTGGCCAGGTGAGAGAACATCCCTCTACAGCTAACTGAGCACACTAAAAATGCCCAGGGCTCCTTCCACTGTCAGCTGAATTTATGATAGTCTTCCTCATGTTTCTGATGGAAGCAAGCTTTTCCAACCCTTTATGGCCTTATAAGAACTATCATCCATACTAGTAAAAAAACAGTCAACCTTTGGATGTACATCAGAAATTTAGTTGCGATTTACTGTGCATGAAATGAGAGTTGGCTCTTAAAGAGCTATGGTAAAAGTTTGAAAAGTAAGATAGCAGGCAAAAGCCCTGCCACTGGGTAGGGTGACTTGAAATGTTTTGAGCTCATTATGTATTAAATATGCTCAATAAAGAGAACAGTTGTCTCATTCACTTAAAAAGCTAACAAGAGAATTCAGCAACCTAAGGTGAAAGCCCCATGTAAATTGCTAACTACTAAACAAGTCAGTCATCACCCAATGAAGACTATCTCAAATTATCAAACACAAATTATGATGACAGACATCTACCCTCAGATGCCCCTTCACATACTACTATGCTTAGGTGTAAATGGCTTATATGATGAGAGCACATACACCCAAGTGAAAAAAACACACTTCTAAAAGTAAAAAATCAAAACCCATATGATAAGAAATATGACACAATCTTGCAACAGCAAACTCTAAATAATATATTTCCAATAATTCTTTTATATATTGTCAGTGGATCTCTTCAGTCACTCTGCACATGCTAACCAATTCTTTTTACCTCTTCTAGAATAATTTAAAACTTCAACTCCCTACTTGGGAGGCTGAGGCAGGAGAATGGTGTGAACCTGGGAGGCGGAGCTTGCAGTGAGCCAAGATCGCGCCACTACACTCCAGCCTGGGCAACAGAGCGAGACTCCGTCTCAAAAAAAAAACAAAAACAAAACAAAAAAAACCTCAACTCCAATACTGCACCAAACTTGTAAACAGAATGCATTTGAAATACAGTGTTAGTAGAAATAAATTGTTGGTAAAAGATTTTTCAAAGAAATACAAATTGTCACTGCCAATCTCGCCTGAAAACCACATATTGGTGCACCTTTAATTTTATATCCTCTAAAATTATGTTACCATTAAGATTAGAATTTTGCTGTTATTTCCTTTCCCCCAGAAACACATTATTAATGTTCTCTCAATTGATTAATGGATTGAAAATAGTATATTCTATAAGTAAACAAGTAAGTTTAGCCATTTGACATGGCCTTCGACAACTGTGCAGTGAACTACATGTACAATTTAAAATGTCAAATGAGTTTGTGCATTAGTAAGAGTCTTAAATAACTAAATATTCTTAAACTATGACAAAATTAATTCTTCCCTATCAATATTCCCACTAAACTTATTTCAGACACAATAAACGGTACACTGGAATATTTAACAAGTTAGATGGCAGGAATGACAGCTGATTCTTTAAAGAATGTAACCATATCCTGACCCCTAATGTTATTAAAATTCCAGTTATTAATCCTGTCTTATTGGCCTTTTGTTTTCATAGCATTTTCATCAAGGATTAGGGAAGATATTGTCAGGCTGGAAAAGCTTGCATTTTCTGCTGTGATTCAGAACAGCTGGCATTCTTGTTTGGATAACCCTTCATTCATATTATTTTCTTTGCCCCACATTCCCCACAGCAAAATTATCCAAGTCCTCACCATTTTGCAAATCCCCCTTAGGGAAATTAATGCCACAATCTATCCCTTCTACTTATTTATCTATTTTCACTAATATACTGCTTTATAATGCCCCAAAGACTATGACCACCTCCACAATTTCTCATCATGGTAGAGATTTAAAGGCTTTTGTCCCTAAGATGAACACTGCGTCTATCTAATCCTTGCTTTCTCTGTTGTTGCTACTTTCATTTTCAGAAAGAGATATGAGACACAGCAGTCAATGTAACACCATCTGCAGATTTCAAATGGGTTTTTACTTTATATTGTAGTCTTCCCTTCTATGTTTAATCAAAAACCTCATTCAAAGATGGGCCATTATCATACAGGTTTGAGGGTAGTTCTATTTTTAAATCCTGTGCTTTCAAAAAGAGAATTTAAAAAGAAAGAAATGAAAAGCTAGAGATGAACTTTTCAAGGTCCCAAATAAGAGGTGTGATTTATTCCAAGAGAACATCTTCATAATTAACAGATAAATGAACTGTATTTTGTGTGTTCATGTGGAGAGTCAGGGAAGAGGATTGGGGGAGTGGTTCACTTTGTTAAGATCATCACTAAAAATGTTAACGCAAATAAATGCCAGTCCCCCAGACACCTCCTATCTAATATTTAATGTTGACACAAGCCAGAAAAACAGTAGGAAGCAGGAATGGCTAAGTGGTGAAGGAACAACACCATAACATTTAAATATGATTTTGCTGATATATTCATAAAAGACCCCAGAGAAAGGGCAATGAGAAAATTCTGGTACAATACTTCACATGGTTTGTGTTAATTATCACTACAACCTTGTGAGGTCGTCCCCAAGAGGAGCTCTGCTTTTGCTTATTGATGTATATAATTACTAGGCATAAACATTAAGGCACACATCCACCTTCATGAGCCACACATTGGCTCAGTAGTATCAAATGCTTTCTTCTATTTTGAAAGACACAGGAAAGAAAATAGCAGGGAGTGCCCCAGAAGTCACTATGTTAAAAGCAATTACAAAGCATTTTAAACAGTATGGTTATAGCACTCTGAAAAAAAAAAAAAAAAACACTTTAAAAAAAGCCTCCTCCCACTCTTAGAACACATCAACTCTTAGTTTTGCAAAAGTATCTAATTGTTGCCATCAATTTAGGGAGTTACCAAGAATTTATTTAATTAAAAAACAATGCATCAAATTAACACAGATGTGAAATAAATCATAAAGTGAAAGTGAAAAACAAATGAGCACGGTTTTTTGACTGGTAGTAGTTTTGTCATTGTTTTGGTTATATTACTAACTATAGCTCTTGAAGGCTAAAACAATTAAATTTACAGAGTTCGGGTATAATCTTTTATTATAAGAGTGATAAGTATATAAAAACCATGAAGACAGAGCTATTAAAAAAATGATTAACTGTATTTAGCAGTAAGCCACTTAAACATAAAATGGGACTGTAATTAATTCATGTTTTCCAACCCTGGACGATGAGCTTACCAGTCGGCTGAATCACTGATTGCAGCCTTGGCCCAAGTACCAGCATCTGCCGTCACAAACCCCACATCATCATGGGAGCTGGAAGAGGACTGGTCAGAGAGATGTGGAGGAAGCACTGGCAACCTGTCATCTTCTATAATGACAGTGTCATCTTGGGGCATATTCACTGTAGGGGACAGCTGGTATTTACCTGTCCAGTGAAAAAAGAAGAAGAGAAAATTCTAGACATCGATCAAAGTGTTACATCTATTAATTTTAATACTTTGCTATATTAGTAAAAGTCTAATTTTCCACATATCTGCTCAACCTGGTAGAACAAAACAGAATTTAGCACATTTATTTTTCATAAATGATTGTCAAACAGAGACCTCGAGTCTATTACTACCTCTGACGCTACAACTATATAGCTCAGGGCAATGCATGCAATTTTTCTGGTTTGAAGTTTCCTAAAGCCAAAGATACTCTCTCAAATGTCTTATAATGTGAAAATGCTACACGCATTCTAAACTGTGAATGTCCTTTGAAAAATTACCAGGAAATTTACAAAGAAGCCCCACTAACTTGCATTGTTTATTCATTCATTCATTGAGCAACTGCTGCAGAGCAGGTACTGCAAGACACAGTCTCTGTCCTTAAAGGACGTATGCCCTAGTGAAGGAGAAAGAATTACAAGCAGTGATAATTATATGGTGGTGTAGAGATGAGTCCAAAGCCATTCACTTGTGTTGTAATTGCCTGGGTTACTGGGGGTAGGAAGTGCTGGAAATCTTGGCAAAAGTTAACATCAGAATTAGGTTTTAAATGGTCAATATGATCTTTTCTGCCAGAAGAAATGATGATATTTATTTTAGATAGCAACAACATCATTATTAAATGCATGATGGAGAAAAGCCCATGATGCAGTCAGGTGAAACTTAAAAGATGAGTATTACCAAAAACAAAGCCTAGAAAAGGAGAGATACCTGGAGTGATCTTGATGCAAAAAATTAGGATCTGAGTGGCCAGAGGTTTTTCAGGCCATGACTGAGGATGTTGGGATGGCATACACAAGCGTGAAGGATTTTTAAAAGTCTGTATTGTATTGTTCTAGACATTTCAGCAAAGGAGAAAAATTTATTTAAATTGCTACATCTTTTCAGGATAACCCACAAAAAGTAAACTTGCTGGGGATTTCAACTGCATTCCTCATTTAACATCAACTACACTATTGTAGTAATACTGTAAGTTCACTGAAACCCCTTCTCAGCACGTTACCAAGAAAAACTTTCTCTTTGATTTCAAATGCACCCATTTTGACAAACTATGAAAATTAACAGCTTATATAAATGCTAATGATAAAAATGTAAATCAAATGTAATACTTAGCCATTTCCCTTACCTGAATTCAAATTACTCATTTATTTCTAATACAGTATTAGAATATTAGGATAGAAACCTGTTCAGCAAAAGTGTCATTCATCAATAAGGTGGGACTTTCTAGCACTATTAGCCAAGAAATATTTCCTTCTCAAGACATACTTTTTTCCTTCAAAGTATATAGAATTATAAAACCAGTCACCCCAATGGACAACTCACCACTGACGAGGCATGTCACAATATTAAATACCAAATACTCACACGGGCATAATTTATTAAAAGAAAATATTACAGTATAATCATAGTGCATTCATTTTTAAACACAAAACTAAAACTTCTGGTTTTACACAATATATTCTGAGAGATGGCCTAACAAAGCAATATGAACACTGAAAGGGGCATATGATTTTTTTTGTAATCTGTTGTTCTGAGTAGAAATATTATACCTTAACTGTTGTGATACAATATTGTATACATAGATAAATGGCAAGAAATCTTCCTCATAGTAAGAAAATAATTTAGCATTTTTTTCTCACCCATGATTTGAAAGGCTAGTATTTCCACAAGATTTGAAAACCCATATTTTCCACTTCTTAACATGCTTGCCAGGAATATAGTTTTGGGTTATGGCTCCAAGATTATACCAGGGTAATGGACAGCTAAAAAACTTTACATATTCTACTAAGCTGCACCTAGACAATACAATGATCCCTTAATTATGTTTGCTAGTAGTTGGTACATCATAAATGTGAAACCTTCTATGACTTGAGAAGGCTTCAATTTATTTCTGATAGGTAAACTTTCCTCTATCTTCAACTAGTTAACTAGTGACCTACAAACTAAGTAAACTAGTCAGTATCTTGTAGAGGAGTGAAACAATGAAATACAAAATGTTTGTTTACTAAACATTTATTCATTGGCAAATTTACATAGAAGGTAACACCACACATGATACTAGAGGAAAACTGTGCCAGTGACATGACTCACAATAAAAACATTAATGTTTCATTTTTCTATGTCAAATTGCTAACAAGATAAAAATGTTCTAAATACGTCTTCTTAAACTCACCACATATATATGAATATACAAACTACTGAGATAAATTCTAAAATGGATACAACAGATTTCAGTTTTGTTTTAAAAAGAAAAATTATTCAGCTAAAAAAGTTGAGAAATAGTTAAAGTCCCAGGCTTACAAATGACAATGTGTGATGTCTTTTACGAAATGGATGTGCTGGTTAAATTAGTTATGCTGACTATCCCTGTTGCTGGTTTTTTTGTTTGTTTGTTTGTTTTTGTTTTTTTTTTTTTTTTTTTGGATATGGAGTCTCACTCTGTTGCCCAGGCTGGAGTGCTGTGGTACGATTTCAGCTCAATGCAAGCTCTGCCTCCTGGGTTTAAGCAATTCTCCTGCCTCAGCCTCCCCAGTAGGTGGGACTACGGGTGTGCAACACAACATCCGGCTAATTTTTGTATTTTTCGTAGAGACAGGGTTTCACATGTTGGCCAGGCTGGTCTTAAACTCCTGACCTCAGTTGATCCACCTGCCTGGGCCTCCCAAAGTGCTGGGATTACAGGCATAAGCCACTGTGCCCAGCTGCATTGTTGCTGTTTTTTATTGTTAGTTAAGAGAGACCAACCATTAGAAAAATGTTTAAGGCTTTTCAAAGGAAGAATCCTATGTAGGCAGCCCCACTACAGGTTACTTTCTGATGAATGTCCAGGACTATTACAAAATCCATGATTGTGGAAATTCTGTCAAAAGAGATGACAGAGAAATCTTGCCTTTGGTCACAATCCTGTCTGACCCCAACAAAAGCTAAGGAAATCCTAATCAGGTGTGACTCATGATAAAGAAAAACATGCATCCAAATTTTGGTTCAGAAGTACAGAAAGTGTGCAACTTCTGTCAAGTTAATTAATGTATTTGCTCCATAACTCCCCGACATATAAGGTAAGTTGGCTGGAGTATGTGGTTTGAAGGCTGCTTTCAAAGATTTAACGTCTTTGATTTTTTTAGTCACCATGGGTGCCAGGATAGAATAAGATCTGGAGACTTTCGAATAACTGCTTACAGATGTAGATAATTATAAATTGATACTAATAAAGAATGAAGATCTCAGCATTCCCCAGAGAGGGCTATTTTTAGAAAAAGGAAATAGCCAAAAACAAAGTAAAACAAAAAACATCATGGGATATCAGGACTTAGTTCCTCATCTGTTAAATGGGAAAGTGTGACTGATGACATCTGACATCCTTTCAACTCTAAAGGCTCTTCCTTTTGGGGTGTATCTTTTAAAAGCCTTTCGCCAGGGATGTGTTCACATAGGAATGCATCACAAAGCCTCAAAGCTCCGTTTAGCCTAGAGTCCTACATAGGGGATTACTCCATATGAAAATTCAACCTGTTAACATAAAATTAATAACTCCCTAAGGTAATCAGCCAGAATTTCAATACAAAGTTCCTTTTGTATCATAGCAGATCATGAAGTAAATACCTCAACCTCCACTAATGTCTACAAAGGAGTGATTCCAAACATATAGAAGACAATCATTAACCAAACAGTCTGAGGAATATCTATGCGCCTAGATACTGTGCAAATCAATAAACACTGTTGTTATTGGTTTAGGCGAATGGAAATCCAAAGTCCTAATGTCTTTGGAACTATGGAATTCATGACTCAGAAAAACATAAATCCGAATTTTGGTTCAGAAACGGTGTGATTTGTCAAGTTTCCTAATTTTTTTGCCCCATACCTCTCCTAATGCCTTGTTTGGGCATTCTCTTGCAAGGTAACGTCTTGAACAGGATTTCTAACTTTAAGTGGTAACTAATTTCACAAATTGCATTTGATTCTTACGGCCAAAGATACTAGAATAAGGACTGACAAAAAGTGAGGAATTTTCAAATTTGCAAAACACAAGATGAATCAAAATATGCATATATACTTGTCAGGGTAAAACTATTTAGAATCCCTAGTTTCCGTTACAAATTGTAAAAATTATCTTAAGAAAATATCCAAATCATAAAAACATCAATTTAGCCTACCCTTAAATAGTAACGCATTTGTCACCCCCAGCCCAAAGTGGTAAAAGGGCATACACATCACAAAACACAGAACTGGGAGAGAAGTTACTGCCCTGGGGAAGCATCTGGAGTTTTAAGAGTTCAGTACATATCTAGCAGAAGGAAGAGGAAACAATGTCAACTATAATGCAAACCGAAGAGGACTAATGAAGCTGTAGCTAACAAAATCGGGGCAACAGACTAGGAAGAAAATGAATGACTCTTCAACTCATATATACAGCATTTCAAAAGGTCACTAGCTGAATTTAGGGATTTTTTTGGTTTGAGTTTTAGTTTTAGTTTTTCGCCTTCCTCTGAAGCATCAGGGATTGGAGGCAGGACGCAGGTTACAGGAACTGGTGGACCAATGGTCTGATTCAGTATGGCAAGTCCTATGTTCCTATAATAAAGGGGAAATTACAGCATATCACTTTGTGTGCACAAATATCTAGGGACACATGCACACTCTCTCTCTCTCAAGGGGACTGAAATTTCATCAACAAAAAAATAATTTAACAAAGATAAAGATTTATACCAAAGCCAAGAAAGTACAGAAAATCCAACAGCAGTGAAGAGAGTGGTAAGTAATAAGCAAAGATTTGAAAGTGATAAACTATGTACAAAGCCTTTCACCTGACAGGTGTTCAACCCAACAGGTGTGGCACTCTTCCCTGACATTCACTTACGCCAAGCATGTAAAAAGAAAAATGTTGACAAAGTAACACCAGAAAGCTGGCTTGTCTAAGTTCCACATGTAACAAGATAAGAAATTACATATTCAGCAATTTTTCTAAACTAGAAAGCTAGAGAGATTAGAGGAAGAAAAACAGACAATTCTACTAGACATGTTTATGTATGTTTTTGATCATGCCCAGTAGAAAGTTCTTTGAAGGCAGAGATTGCTTCTTACTCATCTTTGTATCTACAGCAACAGTATATACACAATGTCTTGCCAATAGCATGCTTTCCATAAACACCCACTGATGAATAAATTACTGTTTCAATGAGGCTCCATAATGGAAACTTGAATTGTATTAAATCTGCATTAAATGTACTCAAAATGGAGTTAAATTTAGGGTTTTACTTTAAATGAGAGCCTTGCAAAATATACCAGTAATAAAAGTGTTTTATGTCAGGTGTTATTTTAATCAAAATGGCTTCTTGTGTTTTAAATTTGAAAACTCTCACAAGCTAATCGCAAGATGAGCAGCTCAGTAAATCCAACCACTCCTGTGGCAAAGCAAGAATTTATGAACTGGATCTGTTAGTAGAAAGCTGAACTGCTGCAAAGCAAGTGCTAATAACCTCATTACCCACTGGGGGCCATGCAGATAGGATGGTACTGAATCCAAACAAAGGATGCAGAAGACTAGTTTCGCGATTTTAAAACTAAAGCTTCAGAAAAGTAAAATACAATTAAAATACAGTAACATCCTATTAAATACAAACCAGATACATGTGAATATTTTATATATGTGTGCATATATCTGTATATAAATATTTTTTCTCCCCCTCCAGGCAGTGCCACTGTGAATGATATGTAACTTTTGAATCCTTTTTGCCACAAGCCATTAAATTTTGATTTCTTTTTAAACATAGCTTCACATATTATCTCAAGTAAGTAAAGAATATCTTGATCACTAGAAAACATTTCCATATGATCCCTTTCTTTTTGGTTGCTTCGTCATGTTACAGGATCTAAAAGTCACTTAAATCAATGGATTGATTTACCTCTTCACATGAACACTTCCTGAATGATTTTAATAAACCTGTTCTCTTTTGTCTTGAAAACATTAATATTTTTATTTACATTAATATTACACTAATAGTACATTAATATTACACCAATAACCTCTCAGTAAACCAATGAAAGCATCAAAATAAGATGTGATAAACAGAGTTTTACCTGACTCACCCATTATCCTACTGAGGGCAGCATTTCTGCTGGGCGATTCATCAAGCCCCTCAATCCCACTGTAGAGGGAATGGGAAATTCTTCGTTCTCTATCATCCAACGCTGTTTCAATGGGCAGCTCAGGTCCAGGGGGGCTCCCAGGTGACTTCAGCTACAGAGTAACGGGTATGGGGGCAAAGAAAAATCAGTACCTGGAGGCCAATTAGCAGCATGGGAGAATTATAACAACTTGCCCGAGGCCTGTATCCAACTGGGTACCAAATGAACTAGAACTTTTCACCCTGTACCAAAATAATTTGTGATGACAGCTCTGCCTAATGACCAACTTTCTGTGCCACTTTATACCATGCCTCCCATGAAGTTCTGTCAGATTTCAACCGCTGGAGGAAAAATATGTATATTTAAGGCTTTTTTAAAATCAGAGCTTGTTGTTTATTTTTCCAATTTGACCGTTAGTGTCTGTTTAAGTCAATTTAAGTTACAGTGTAATTCAGAATTCTTTACTAGATGTTACTCTATAAAAGGCGTGCTTGATCAGAATGGAAGCTGCAATTTAGCTATAGGTCTTAAACTTATGGTATGTAAATACATCTAACAATTAGCACACATTTTTCCATGTGTGCTGGTGGAATTATTACCTACTCTACAAGACCTAAAGATATCAGCTCAGATGTCTTGAACAACACACTGATTTTAAATTCCTCCTGCTAGAAATTAAGAATAATCATGGTATTATCTTTACTGTAATGTTTAAGTACAAGATAGTAGCTGCAATAATCACTTCAGTAGTGTACAGAACAATATGAAAATCGGGACCAAATATTCTAATAAAGCACACCAAGATAGGAGGATTTCAAAAACATATACAATCTAATAAATAAGCAATGAATGTATGTCAATTTCGATGACAATAAATTAAAATGTATCGGGCATTTCTTAAAACAGCTAGCTGTGTCTAATAAGTCATATTTTACATAAAAATAATATGAGTAAGAAATTCATGTTAGTAAGGCCTTCAAACAAATCTGTTTTAATGAAAGAACATTTAACTACAATCCTCATAACGCAGACTGTGAGGTTCACCACAAGGACTGGTATCTCATGATGCTTTGATGTTAGACAGACAGGAAGGGCCAATGTGGGGGAGTGGGCAGGAGGGCAGCATCACACAGCACAGCGGGAGAGAAGGCGCTCCTCTCACACATGAAACCACAACTGTCGCACTTCCTTCAGCTGAACAAATTATTATTTCCGTTAGAAGCTATCATCTGTTTAATATAAATGAGATATTTAATGAAGTTTCGAATTGTAGACTTATCTCTCCCAGTTTGATAAGCACTGGGGAGATTTAATGCATTGAAGGGTCAACACAATTACAATTGGAGGCACATCAAACTGCAGGAGAATAATAAACTTGCAGCTCTAGTGAATTAGACTCAATAAGGTTTAAATTGTGAAACGAGGATTTGTTTCATTTGTTTTTTTTAAAATTGTAGATTACAACTGACAGCTTTACTGAAAAGTAAATTAAATATTCAAGGTCTCTGATGTAAAGAAATAAAAGAACAGTTTCTAAAAGAATGTAATGCCTAAATTCCAAGAGACTCTGGGAAAGTAAAAAAAAAAAAAAAAAAAAAAAAAAAAAGCTAATAAAACGAATACTCTATACCATTAAGAACAAGTATGGTTTTTAAATTAACACACACACTAAAAAGTATACCTACATAAAGACTTGCTATACAAGACTCTATAAACAAATTCTGTTTACTATACAATAATTTATCAAAAGACAGACAACATATCCTCAAGGTTGCCTGAAAAATGTATTTAATTGAACTGTATAATGCTGCAATTTTCTACATGATAAAACCTTTATAAAACTTCTTCTTGAGAAATCCCTAAATATCCCAAAAGGCTATTTTAAAATTTTATAAAGCCAAATAAAAATTCCATTAAAAAGGAGTACATGCAGGTTTTCTAGAGAAAAACAGTAAGACGTCTGTTCAGAAAAAAACCAAGCACTTGAACATTTTCATAGGAAAGATTCTCCACCTCCCCTACCTCTCTACCCATATTTAATTTGCATCTCAAAAGACAGATTTAAATGAAGACATCAATAGTTGACTACATAAATATTTAACAGAAGATACAATGGCTTTTAATTTCTTTTAAAAAAACTGATTGGGGTTACAGTTTTGTTTTAAATCTTTTGATGATTTTTTGTTGTTGCAAGAACACCAGCTTAGGAAATAGAAATGTGTCAGAGGGGGCACCAGCGGCACTGAGGAAGAGAGGCAACCCCAGTGGTCCTGGGAGAATGGCTGGCCTCTGCTCCCCCAGGCCTGCTATCACCCCCTTGCAGGCTCCTTATATTAAAACCTTATTAAAATTAAGCTTCGGTTGGGCACAGTGGCTCACGCCTGTAATCCCAGCACTTTGGAAGGCCGAGGCGGGTGGATCATGAGGTCAGGAGTTCAAGACCAACATGGTGAAACACCAAATATACTAAAAATACAAAAATTAGCCAGGTGTGGTGGCGGGCACCTGTAATTCCAGCTACTCGGGAGGCTGAGGCAGAGAATTGCTTGAACCCAGGAGGCAGAGGTTGCAGTGAGCCGAGATCACGCCACTGCACTCCAGCCTGGCTAACAGAGAGACTCCATCTTGGCGGGGGGGGAGGGGGGGTGGTAGAATTAAGCTTCATTAGAAGAAGAAACCAAAGTAAGCACAACTGCGATTTTCATTTTGTTGTCTATTTGTGGTTTAATGTGCAAAAATTTTCTTGACTCCAACTAAATACAGTCCCCTGTAGCAGTGGCTGTTTAGCCCCTCAGTTCCATCCCAAGGAAAGTCTTTCTACCTATTAAAGAACAAAAATAGCTTTAGGTTGCGGCAAGATAACCCACACTCGGTAGGAGTGTAAAGTGATACAGTCTTTTGCTACAGTAACTTGGAAATATATTACCACAGGGCAAAAAAAAATCTTATTTTTAACTCTTTGAACAGGCCTTTATTTCATGTTGTGGTCACTATCCCAAAGGAAATAATAAGCTAAGTGAATAATGAAAATTCATGTGAATTTATCTGTGGGGTTTAATAAAATCTCCGTTTGTTGTGAGTATGCATTAGCAAGCCAAATAGTGTCTTTCACCTAAAGAAAATGTATCCCACTATCTCCACTACAAACACTGAAAAGTTCGTATTGGAATGGCCTTAAACCCCCTTCAACAAACCTAAAACTGGATTCTCACTGGTGATTGGCAAGATCATATTATTCAATATTTCAGTTTTTTTTTAGCATATTGTATTTTATCCCCAATGCCTAGCGTAGAGCAGGCACTGGTGGAATAATTAGATTAGTAAATTCATTCCTAAAAGTGAGTGAGTCATAATTTCCTTAAAACACACTACATTATGTGGAAATAGGCTGTTAAAACTGAGGACACGCCATGATGTTGATATTAAAAGACATTTAACCTAGATTACAAATATACATTCTGGAAAATATTAGCTTCCAGAGGACAGGTGAACATAAAGCAACTAATGAAAACACAGATTTTAGTTTTGGAGGAGAGTGAAGGAAGATTTAGAGCACAGTTTCACATTCTCTTTTCAAACAGGACCACATTTATTTTCCTTCACATCCCCATGAGGGCAATGGCAAGAACCAGAAATGTGAGGTGAGCTCCTCAAGTCAGCACATGGCAGAACCAGAATTTCTCCGATTACATCAGATTCGAAAGCCCATGCTTTTATTGTACACTACTTCCCAACGCAACTGGGATATAAAGTGCCTGAACAACACAATCACAGTCAATTAGATCCACTCACTTGTGTAAGAGAAACAGACATTTTGCTTCTAAATTACTTTGCCACCTATGTTGGCCTTGCAGCCATTAAAGCAAATCATTTGACCTCTTTGCATTTATTTCTTAATACAGAAAATGAAGAGATTCATAAATGATACCTTAGGCCCCTTTCCTATTCTAATATACCTTTCTCATTCTAAGAGGGTTAAGCCTAGAGAAAAAATTCATTTTAAAGAAGTCCTTGATGACTAAATCCCCCAATATGAGGTCTAAGACAGAAAGCTCACCTGGCGATATTCTCTACTGGCACTAAGAAAAAGCTTTACATAAAATCACTTCTAACATGGATATAATAAAATGCCTGGAAGCTATGTTAAATTACAGTAATTTCTACAAATATTAATGTCTTTAAAATATTTAAAACTCAGCATAATTCTCATATAGAGGCTATTTTCAACACTCAAGGAATGATGCCTGGCATTTACTTCCATTCCACTCCAGTCTCGTTTAAAAATCTTCAACAGAGTGTCAACAGCTTTCTCCACTGTAAAGTTACTCTTTTTTGCTCCCCTCTCCCCTCTCCCCTCTCCCTCCACTTTCCATGGTCTCCCTCTGATGCCGAGCCGAGGCTGGACTGTACTGCTGCCATCTCGGCTCACTGCAACCTCCCTGCCTGATTCTCCTGCCTCAGCCTGCAGAGTGCCTGGGATTGCAGGCACGCGCCGCCACGCCTGACTGGTTTTTGTATTTTTTGGTGGAGACAGGGTTTCGCCATGTTGGCGGGGCTGGTCTCCAGCTCCTGACCGCGAGTGATCTGCCCACCTGGGCCTCCCGAGGTGCCGGGATTGCAGACGGAGTCTCGCTCACTCAGTGCTCAATCTTGCCCAGGCTGGAGTGCAGTGGCGTGATCTCAGCTCGCTACAATCTCCACCTCGCAGCCGCCTGCCTTGGCCTCCCAAAGTGCCGAGATTGCAGCCTCTGCCCGGCCGCGACCCCATCTGGGAAGTGAGGAGCCTCTCTGCCTGGTCGCCCATCGTCTGGGATGTGACGAGCCCCTCTGCCCGGCTGCCCAGTCTGGGAAGTGAGGAGCGCCTCTTCCCAGCCGCCATCCCATCTAGGAAGTGAGGAGCGTCTCTGCCCGGCCGCCCATCGTCTGAGATGTGGGGAGCGCCTCTGCCCCGCCGCCCCATCTGGGATGTGAGGAGTGTCTCTGCCGGACCGCCACCCCGTCTGGGAGGTGAGGAGCGTCTCTGCCCGGCCGCCCCGTCTGAGAAGTGAGGAGCCCCTCCGCCCCGCAGCTGCCCTGTCTGGGAAGTGAGGAGCCCCTCCGCCCAGCAGCCGCCCCGTCTGGGAAGTGGGGGGCAGCCCCCGCCCGGCCAGCCGCCCCGTCCGGGAGGGAGGTGGGGGGCGCGTCTGCCTGGGCGCCACCCCGTCCGGGAGGTGGACCCAACAGCTCATTGAGAACGGGCCATGATGACGATAGCAGTTTTGTCGAGTAGAAAAGGGGGAAATGTGGGGAAAAGAAAGAGAGATCAGATTTTTACTGTGTCTGTGTAGAAAGAAGTAGACATAGGAGACTCCATTTTGTTCTGTACCAAGAAAAATTCTTCTGCCTTGGGATGCTGTTAATCTATAACCTTACCCCCAACCCCGTGCTCTCTGAAACATGTGCTGTGTCCACTCAGGGTTAAATGGATTAAGGGCGGTGCAAGATGTGCTTTGTTAAACAGAGGCTTGAAGGCAGCAAGCTCTTTAAAAGTCATCACCACTCCCTAATCTCAAGTACCCAGGGACACAAACACTGCGGAAGGCCGCAGGGTCCTCTGCCTAGGAAAACCAGAGACCCTTGTTCACATGTTTATCTGCTGACCTTCCATCCACTATTGTCCTATGACCCTGCCAAATCCCCCTCTCCGAGAAACACCCAAGAATGATCAATAAATAAATAAATAAAAAAATAAATAAATAAATAAATAAAATAAAAAATAAAAGTCTTCAACAAATGTGTCCTTTGAGGTAAGTGAAAACAATTTTTCTCTTCTTACTTTGTGTATTCCAAAACTGAAACGATGGAAAAGAATGCAGGGACTCAGTTTTTCTCTAAAAAAGTGAAATCATCCTTTAAGGGCTTTAAACAATGGGAAGCCATCTCTTTTTCTTTGAAGAAAGAAAAAAGAAAACAAACAATGATGGTTTATACAATGTTTTTAAGTGTAGTTAGATAAAACCATTAGATCTAAGAAAAGAAGGAAAGCAAAGGAAATAAAAATTACTGCCCTCAAAATCACTTTGTTTGCCTTGTCTGAGGGTGACTCTGGAATTTCAGTTTCTAATACTAACAAGACCTGTCTTTCTTCAAAAAAAAAAAACAAAAAAAAAACGCCAGATGGTAGCAGGCACTTGCAGTCCCTGGCTAACACGGTGAAACTCCATCTCTACTAAAAAATACAAAAAATTAGCTGGGCGTGGTGGTGGGCACCTGTAGTCCCAGCTACTTGGGAGGCTGAGGCAGGAGAATGGCGTGAACCCGGGAGGCGGAGCTTGCAGTGAGCTGAGATCACGCCACTGCACTCCAGCCTGAGCAACACAGCGAGACTCTGTCTCAAAAAAAAAAAAAAGCCAGACTCTCCAGGGTTGCTCTTCGTCATTCAGCCTGTGCTGATGTGTCAGGCCTGGGTTGGATACCAGCAAAGGATACACAGGAAAGTGGTAGATGGACCAAGCCCTGGCAGTCTCAGAATCCACATTCCAGCAAAAGAAAATCAAAGAGGAAACCATGATAGTGTGACAGCTGCTGGGTGAAGGGGAGTACACGGGGCTATGAAAATCCTTTGGAAGAGAAAATGGAAAATGAAAGACTGCGTTAAGTCTTTGCTAGGATGAGGGGCAGATAGACTCAAGTGGAAGACCTAGAGGTGTAAAAGAGCATCCCATGTCTGAGAAATTACCAGAAACACTGAGTGGCTAGAGCAGAGGTGCTGCAGGGGCTGTAGGGCACCGATGACAATCAGGCATGTCCCAGTGGTCCCCATGATGGAGACTGGTTGATCCTGGAGACATGGAAAGCCTCTGAAGGGATTTCAGCAGGGACTGACGTGATTAATGTGTTCTGTAGAAAAATTTGCCTGACTGCAGTGCAGAGAATGGATTGAGGGAGAAAGCCTGATTGCAGAGAAAACCCTCAGGGAGCTGCAGCAGTGCGCCTGGTGAGAGGATGAGGTCTGAACTCAGGCAGTGGGAGAGGGGAAAGAGGGGAGCGGCTAAAGGAAGAGAGATTCTAGGCCAGGCGCAGTGGCTCACAGGCGTAATTCCAGCACTTTAGGAAGCTGAGGCCAAAGGATTACTTGAGCCCAGGAGTTTAAAACCAACCTGGGCAACATAGTGAGATCCCATCTTTAAAGAAAAATTAGTTGGGTGTGGTGGTGCATGCCTGTGGTCCCAGCTACTAGGGAGACAGGTGGCAGGATTGCTTGAGCATGGGAAGTCGAGGCTACAGTGAGCCGGGGACTATACCACTGCACTCTAGCCTAGGCAACAGAGCGAGAGAGCAAGACGCTGTCTCCAAAAAAGAAAAGAGGGAAATTCTAGAGGTAGAAGCAACAGGCAACAGGGATAGGGACAGCATTTGAGAGGTCAAGGGTGACCCCAGATCTCTGCCTTCTACAACAGAAAGAATGTGGTGCCTTGTGAATTAGGTGCCCATAAGACATACCAGGAAATATTTCCCTAGGCAGGTGGACAGAGGGATCTGGTGCCAGAGTGGACCTGTGAGCTGGAAAGAGGATGATAGTATTCATCCTAACAAGTGGTTTCAGGCAGCAAGGGAGTGGAGATCAGCTAGGGAGCAAGAGCAGAGTAAAAACAAACAGACCTGGTGGGGCGCAGTGGCTCACGCCTGTAATTCCAGCACTTTGGGAGGCCAATGTGGGCAGATCACAAGGTCAGGAGTTTGAGACCAGCCTGACCAACATGGTGAAACCCCATCTCTACCAAAAATACAAAAAATTAGCTGGGCATGGCGCACACCTGTAATCTCAGCTACTCACGAGGCTGAGGCTGGAGAATCACTTGAACCCGGGAGGCGGAGGTTGCAGTGAGCCAAGATCACGCCACTGCACTCCAGCCTAGGCAACAGAGTGACACTCCGTCTCAAAAAAAAAAAAAAAAAAAAAACAAAACAAAACCAAACAAAAAAACAGACAACAGACCCAGAGGAACTTTGAGAGACAGGAATAATGAAAGAACAGGCAGAAAAGAGGAACCCTTAGAGAAGACCCGGAGTAGGGTAGCAGAAAACTAGAGAGAGTACATAGGAGACACTTTGAGAATGACATAGTGCCTGCAGATTCCTGGAAGGCTAAGCAAAATAGGCTAAGAAATAGCTCCCAGAGAATGTCTCCAATGTGCCCTGTCGCGACTAATGTTAGGGAAATACAGGGCTTTAACATAATACCTAGTGAAGGGAGCTGACAAATAAATTTAAAGAAAACACATTGGACCAGGTGAGGTGGCTCATGCCTGAAATCTCAGCACTTTGGCAAGCTGAGGCCAGGAGTTGGAGAACAGCCTGGACAACATAGCAAGACCGTGTCTCTACAAAAATGAAAAATAAAGAAGACATATTAAGATAATACACAGCACTTCCATGTATAAGAGAAAGAAAAATGTGACAAAGAACAAAAGATTTTCTTTTACACATTCTTACCTTCCCTAACTAGAAATTAAATATGCAAACCTTGGATTTAAAGATGAGATAGCAAAATACAGTTTTCTGATTGGCAAAGACTGGACTATACAGCTGATTAAAAGACCTAGAAAGAAAACTCAGCACATTATTTTGGCTTGAGATTTGTTCAGGACAGCAGGATGCCCTGTGCTTATATCAATATTTACTATAACATAATTTACACATACCCTCCCAGTGTGCAAAGGAGAAGGTTTTCCTAAGGTAATGCATAAGTACAACAGCTGAAAAATCATGTCTTATACCTTACTGGAAGCTGAATTGAGATCTTCTGTCTTCATGTAATTCTTTAGTTAAACCCTATCAGTACAAAAGGGTTCTTGCTAGTATTACAAAGATAGCACAGCACTCATAAGATTTTTTGATATAATTGCTTTATAAGCTTATGCTGTCCTAAGAAATAGTAATAACCAGCAATGTATGAAAATGATACCATAAGGAATATTGAATATTAAAGTCTATTACTGTCTACTGCAGCTGTTTCCTTACTTAAATCATATTCATTCACAAAAATTCATATGGAGAAGTGAATAAAACACAGAGATATTTCAGGGGGATTCCAATTTCACATCTCTTACAGGGAATAAAATCAGTGCTTTTATCAAAACATTTTCAGGCAGGTACAGGTTTACTTTGTCACTATTTGGGGGGAACAATAGGGAATAATCTGAATCAGATAAAAGCAGAACACTGATCTTCAGTTCATTTCTGCATTTTAAGTCCTCCTGTAGCATTCAATGTTTTCTGTGAAGGAAAACATTGAGAAGGTGTTAAAAATTTTAATTGGTCTCTAAAAGACTAAGGTGATACGTTGTCCAGTAGAATGCATGCCATCTGTCTTATTCACTGCTATGTCCTCAGGATCTAACACATTTTCTGATACACATAAGATGCTCAATAAATATCTGTGGAATGAAAACTGTCCTGTGTAATGGGAAAGTATTCAGGTGGCCAAAATAAAAAGGCCTAAAAGAGAATGATATGTTTTGTAAACTTACAGTTGAGATGTTTTCATATAGTGCTTTGTGGGACTTAAGTTAAAAGATCAGCTAATGATTTTGCAATGAGTAAAAACTACTATTCAATCAGTCCAGGAGGGACGGAAAAGAGAAAAAAATATCAGTCCAGCATCCTACTGTGAGGGATTAGCTTTTATATTTATCTTACATAAATGAATGTTTGTATGTCCCACTCTTCTCCACTCTGAGATTTTTTAGTTAAGGTTATGTTGTTCTCTTGATATCGCAATTAATTTGTTGATTACTGTTAACTCATTCTACATTTGGCAAATAAAAACAACAAAATAATTCAGTGGTCAGTGATCTTTCAGAATACGTCACCTCTATATTGACTACCAACTGAGCTCGAGAGTATATTTTCTCTGTAAAATATGCTTGTATCATAGGTTCAGATGAGTGGTCACTGCAACCTGAAAACGGTGCTTTATGTGTTTATTAAACAGAAGTTTAAAAATTAAGAAAAACTCTTAAACAACTTAGGTATAATTTTCAGTTTGTATTATTTGCTAATCATTTTATCTTAGTTGATTTGATCTTAAAATGTGGGAATCTGAACATTGATTTAAGAAAAACTTCACATTTTCAACAGCTCATTTTGCACATGGGCAAGTCTGACCTATTTTCTACAGTTGGCACATAATTTATAATGGATCCATGAAATTTAGCTTTTTTCAAGCTCCAATATTATCAAGGCAACATATAATTTATTTTTAACTTTCAAATGTCCTATTATACAACAAAGTATGTTTTTCCATATTTGGGAAAATAGATGATCCTACCTTTCAAGAGAGGATGCCCTGTGTCCTCCTCACCCCTAATTCCAAACTGCAACATACATTTAGAACAAGCAGAGTATAATACAATACAGATCACTGAAAAAGGAGGCATTCTAAGAGAACAGACTCAATCCCATAGAGAAAGAGAAAATGGGGACTGAGGAAAGAGAGGGAGGTATATGCTATTGATAATCTCACAAGAGAACACCATCATCTAAGAAAGCCAGACTGTGGGCCAGGTGCTATGGCGCGTGCCTGTAATCCCAGGACTTTGGCAGACTGAGGCAGGAGAATCCCTTGAGCCCAGAAGATGGAGGCTGCAGCGAGCTGTGACCACAACACTGAACTCCAGCATGGTCAACACAGTGAGATCCTGTCTCAAATAAAAAAGAAAGGACAGGGAAGGAAAGACTGTTCCCTACTAGGGGCTTTGTAAGAGGCATCCCATTTTAAATAAATGAATAAGCAACTGTTTCTCTGCATGATTCACCTCCCAGGTATAACTCTGCCAACTAGAAGAGAAACTGTTGGCTCTGAGAAGGAAGATGTGACCCTGATTTCAAGAAAAAATTCAGCTAAAGGGGCTTTTGAGATCCCAGTGTTTCCTGCTGAGTTGGCAATAGGAGTATTAATGTCCACTTAGGAATATGTTGATCACAAGAATTAAGAACACAAACCACAATCCACCTACAAAATAATAAAACTACAATAAGCAAAGATAATTTATGGTCTTTTGATGTAAGGTCCTGGAACCTAATACCCTTTGCCCAAAATTAGGACAGAAATGTAGTTTATTTACAATTTTAGATACTAGCACTTTTTTGCATTTCTTACCTCATTGCACTTGCTTATTCTCCTTGCAACAATAAGCTGGATCATTCCTCGTTTATTGCCTTCAGTAGACATAGACCTTCTTAGGGTTTCCATGGCATCTTGGTTTGTCTTGCCCAACAGGGATTCTCCATTTACTGCTATCAGTTGATCATTCACCCGAAGCCTTCCATCCTGGGAAGAAAACAGGTAAAAATAAGTGCTATTAAACAGACTGCTATAAAAGAAGTAGCTTTTCCTTTAGTTAATAAATAAAATAAAAACAAAGCAAAAAAAAAAAAAGTGGGGAGCTTTAATCCTAATGGATTATGCCCAATTGAACGCTGGCATAATAACGTCTAAGCAGCTATTGTAGCCTGTGTCTATTTCAATCATTTATACATTTGTAAATCAAGTCATTATCATAATCTGTTTACCAAAATAGCATACTAATTCAAAGGACACAAAGTGATTACTTTCTTGCTTCCAGAAACACCCATAGAGGTTATTTAGAAACCAAGACATGTAAAAGCTCAAGGCTATTAGACAGTTGCAGAGAACTGTCCCCTTAACAAATGGCCAGGAAATTTTCTCTAGGCTGAGAAATAGAGTAAGTGACCCACAAACAGGGGAGGGGAGGGGAAAGATTAACGTCTACTATACGCCCATTCTGTGACAGGACCTATGCCAAGTCTTTGCATTGATTAACTTCATTTAACTAGCATGTCAATGGGTTGTATGTTCTGTGAGAGAAAAAATGAAAGGTTGAAGTTATGGACTCCATCCCCACGTGACACATCACTGATACACCTAGTTGTTTAAATGTGAATGTGGGTACCATAAAGAAATGAGAAAACTTCTGTTAACTGTATATGTTTCCAAAATAGGAACAGGGTTGAAATTAAAATTTTTGTTAATAGGCATACGCATGATAAAGTTGACACTCACTTTAGATGCTGCTCCTCCATTAATAATGGACTTGACAAAGATTCCCAAATCTGCGTGGTTCTCTTTTGACCGGTTACCTTTGACACTGACACCAAGGCCTGCAGATCCTGAATCATTAAGTGGGACTTCAAATGTCAGAAATTCCCTGGTGCCATCAGGTGTAAGAACAATATCCTCATCTTCTGCTTTCTAATAGGGAACAAAATTGCACAGCACATTATAGTCCAATGTTTCTTTCTCAAAGTTATTTTTAAAGACTGCTAATGAGCAGTTCCTTAATCATAAGAGGCAAAATATTTCCATGAAGGTTCCACAGCAAGATCCATGAAAACACTACATCTGCACCCACTCCAGAAGATTCTTGGAACCAGCTGTTAATATTTTTATGTAGCAATTATTCAATATTGAACCAAACTTAAATCAGATTTGAGAAAGATAGAGGGAAAATGTAGTGGAAGGACTAAAGACTAGTAGATTTCTAGAGTTCGGGATTTTTTTGGTGTAATCATATATTCTAAACGACAAGAAAAACAGTAACAATGGGAGTAAAAATAAATAAATATAATTCATTTATCTCCCTTTTTATGAGGAAATTCTGAAGTTATCAATATATTTAATGTTCACTAATGGTGTTTATTCACAAAAAATAACAAATCCTGATCATACAAAATCAGCAGAAAAAGGTATATGGGTTCAGAGAGCCTCTAAAGAATTCTAACATCAACATCTGTGAGACAAAGTAGAGATATACAACATCACAGAAAACTTTTCCACAATATTGTAGCATACATAATATAGCTGGTAAATATTATTCAGGTAATCTTGTTTAATTAGTTAAGATTTAACTTCATAGTCACCAAGCATAGAAGGAAGACTTTTTAAAATAAAAAACATTTAGGATATACAAATTATTGTTCACCTCCCTTAAAACAGAGGAAGAAATGAAAGCTTAATGTAGAACTGAATAAAATGCATTAAGATGACAGCCTATCATTAAGAAAGCCTACACTCCAGAAGAGGAAGCACTCAGCCTTCTGAGCTCCTCCTCCTCAGCAATCCCGCCCATGACCAAGATTTCCACCATCTCTATACTGGTCATGTCCAAATCAGTAAGGCTAGGATGCTTGTTCAAGCACAAACTCTTGCTCCAACCACATAACAGACACGTGGCACAGGCTCTTCAAGTAAAAACTGAATGGCACATCTAGTCCTACAACCTATTTCTCCTCCTCTTTTCCCACGTTTGAAATATTTCTCCAGCATCTGTTTAGTCATTCAAGCTTGACTTATCAAATTATAATTGAAGAATAAGAAATACAGTGGTACACAGATATGTAGGAATATATACTTTAAACAGATTGTGCTTTTACAGAATGTTCAATAACACAAAAAAAGTAGGTGACTGCATCCTACCAAATTTTTAAAATGTCCTAATAAGAATAAAAATCAACCCAAGGAATTTGGAATTCAAGGAAATTTGGAATGCAAGGAATTTGGGGCATAAACATGCAATCTCAGATGTCTCAATTAGATAAAATACATTTTGAGAGTACACTATCTGTAAGTGAATTTTTTAGATCATCATAAAATAAGCAATATGCTATTTATAAATCTTTAGACCCATAGTAATGTGATGTTTCTAATTTACAAATATGTAAAGTTAACATTTTATGGTAGGACATCTTTGTGCTATCTCAAAGGATGGCCTGATAGTTTTTAAAGACAAGTAACACTTCAATTACAATAAACTTGCTAATGGGTTAAAAAAAAAATTAAAACTTATATAATGAAGAACTCAAAATAAGAATCTGAAAAAATACAGAGTAATAGTCATGTTAACTATGCAAAGTAAATACATTTATGATCAAAGTCCAAATAAAGCCTTAAGCCTGCTCATCATAAAAACTAGATTTAAAATATTCCCAGGCTGGGCGTGGTGGCTCACGCCCATAATCCCAGCACTTTGGGAGGCCGACGCAGGTGGATCACGAGGTCGAAGCAGGTGGATCACGAGGTCAGGAGATCGAGACCATCCTAGCTAACATGGTGAAACCCCATCTCTACTAAAAATACAAAAAATTAGCCAGGCGTGGTGGCGGGCACCTGTAGTCCCAGCTACTTGGGAGGCTGAGGCAGGAGAATGGCGTGAACCTAGGAGGTGGACCTTGCAGTGAGTGGAGACCATGCCACTGCACTCCAGCCTGGGCGACAGAGCAAGACTCTGTCCCATAACAAAAAATAAAATAAAATAAAATATTCCCAGAGAACAATTTTAGCTCAAATAAAACCAATGTATTGTGGGCAAAAAAAGATCAAATATATCAAATACTTTGATACAAAAGTATCTTTATATACATGCTTTGCTCTATAAACATGAATATTCAATATACTTTTTATTTTGGTCCATGTAGCTCAAAACAAGTGTTTTTGTTGTTTGTTTTTTTGAGACAGTCTCACTCTGTCACCCAAGGTGGAATGCGGTGGTACAATCACTACTCACTACACCTTTGACCTCCCCAGGCTCAGGTGATCCTCCCACTGCAGCCTCCAGAGTAGCTGGGACTACAGGAACATGTCAACAAACCGGGCAAATTTTTGTATTTCTTTAGAGATGGGGTTTCACCATGTTGGCCAGGCTGGTTTCAGACTCCTGGGCTCAAGCAATCCACGCACTTTGGCTTCCCAAAGTATTGGGCTTACGTGCCCAGCCCCTTGAAACATTTACAGAGTACGAAATAATGACTATGTGTGAATGAACTGCACTACCTCAATATAAAATCTGTTACAAGAATATAAAGTACGGTAAATTTTGATGTTTAAAATACAAAACAACATCAATACACATCATAGTTCCCCTTGACTTTAAATTTGGAGGTTGCTGAAATAAAAAATTATTCTGTCAATCAGTACTTATAAGCATGGAAAAGCTACATTTGAAAAAATGGAAAACAAGAATATTCTTTCTATGGACACACCTAAGTCTCATCACTCACTATGCTTACTTGCTTCAACTCTGGAAGGTTCTTAATTGTTACTTTCTGATTTGAATCTTCAGTTGCCTTTTCAGTGTTTACTGAGTTTTACATTTCCATAACATTTTACCAAGGCTTACAATTCTCATATTTTTCCTACTTGAAAGATCAGGATAAGGAGCTGGCTGCATATATGAAGAAAAATTTTAATCAAGTTGCAATATTTTCTGATTGCTGAACTCTGAACCTGTTTTAAAGAAGAGCATATTCTCCAGGGGATAGTTTATTTATTATAACAACTGCAGAATGGGAATAATCTTTTTCAGCTTTCTTACCAAGTCTTAAGTCATTATTATCATTAAGAACACTGATGTGAAACATTGTATGTTTCATGTGATATTCCACTATTAATCCATTTGGCTTTTGACATAGACAGAAATTAATGCCAGCTTTTAGAACTTAGTTCTCTGGCAGAAAAATGTTTTTTAAAAATTGTGCTCTTCAAAAATCATTTGAAATGCTATATTACTGAGAATGTTCATAAAGTCAGATAGTATAGGAATCTCCATATTCTGATGTAAAATAGAAACTAACTTTCTATCACCTTGCTATTCCATCCAAATTCTGCACCTTATCAACTGTTTCTCGAATTAAGATCTTTCTACAGAAACGCAAAAAATGTCTTTTCTTTAACTCACTCCTCATGTCATCTGGGCACAGTCATGTCACTCAAGCACACCTGCCTCACGCACATACATGTGTGTATACCTCAAGTGATTGTTTTCAGCAACAAAGCCTGTCAGTTCTTCCTTTGCCCATTTCTCCATTACCATTTGTTGTCTTTAAATGCCCAGAATAAAAGGGCACCTTTGCTAAGGAACCTGCTGAATGGGTATTGTGAAAGCTACTTACTATCCCACCCTCCAGAGAACAGCAGAAAAGATGTACATTTCTATCTGCAGTGAGACAAAGAGTCACAAGTGGGCACCATCATGGCCCCCTTTTCCTTCTTCCCGAAATCACAGTCCAAAAAACTGAGAATAGAGCTGGCCTATAGGCCCAAATCCACAGTTAATCTGCAGCAAAGGTGTTATCTATAAAAAAGGAAATAAGAGTTGATTGTGTCAAGCAGCAGAAAAACAATCATGGGAAGGGTAATCTCTGAGCCGCAACAAACGAAAATTTGGATGAGAATGTACAAAATATTGTGAAGAGAGGCAAAAGAAACATGGAATGTGCACAAATGATAGAAGACCATAAAATTATAGGAGTGAGCTCAATAGCCGATTTTTGGCTTTGTAACAAAATACGTGACTCAGCAAAAGTTTCATCACTCCACTATAAATCATTAATTTCTCTCTCTCAAGATCTGCCCTTATCTACAGAATTATCTTTTTTTTTTTTAAAGACAGGGTCTTGCTCTGTCATCCAGGCTGGAGTGCAGTGGCATGATCATAGCTCTCCATAACCTTGAACTCCTGGACTCAAGTGATTATCCCGCCCTCAGCCTCCCAAGTAGCTAGCTGGGACCCCAGGCACACCACCAAGCCTGACTAACTTTTTCTCTTTTTTGTAGAGACAGGGTCTTGATATGTTGCCCATGCTGGTCTCAAACTCCTGGGCTCAAGCAATCCTCCCACCTTGGCCTCCCAATATGCTGGGATTATAGGCAAGAGCCACCATGCCCAGCTGAGTTATTAGCAAATAGCTAGTAAATTAATGCAAAAATCCCTAGTAAATTAATAACAAAAAGATAAGCAGTCTGCATCAAACAGGAAAAGGATGTAAACAAGCCATTCACTAAAGAAAGATGAGCAAACCAATAAATCAACCTCCAAGTACAAGGTTCAATCTTACTCGCAAATCAATCAAAGGTTATCAAATTGCTCCATATATTTTCTTCAAATTAATGATATCCAACAAATACTGCTTTGCCATAGAACACTAAAAAATAAATAAAAATAATGATATTTAATACTGGTGTGGTGAAATGCGCATGTTCTTGCACTGCTGGTGAATGTAAAAAAATGGTACAATATTTATGGAAACCAATTTGACAATGCTTACCTAAACCTTCTACAGTTTGCCATTTTCTTAAGCTAGAAATATTACTTTTAGTGATATGGCCTACAAAAATAGTTGTGATCATGTACCAAGTTTTAACTGTGAGGATATTGTTTTAATTACAATAGCTAAAAATTGACATGTATGAAAGTCAGGAAAATTAAGATCTATCTACACAATGGAATGCCATTCAGCTAATAAAGTGTCTTAGCAAAATAATATGTAAGACAAGAAAGTATTTGTGACTAAGAAATTGAGTTTTACCCTTTGGACTTCCATAACTTCCAGTACACCCATCAAAAACCTCCATAACATATTTTTATGAATTAATGTCTGCCTTCAAAGATCACTAGAAGCTTCACAAGGTAGGAATTTATGTCAGTCTTCACTCGTGCCTGGGGCATGACATTTATTAACAATAATAGGATATGTGGCTGGGACATGATACATATTAGTTAAATAGGTAGACAAGAACATCTTTTTACTTATTTATTTTTTCTGAGATGGAGTCTCGCTCTGTTGCCCAGGCTGAAGTGCAGTGGTATGATCTCAACTCACTGCAATCTCGCTTCCTGGGTTCAAGCAATTGTCCTGCCTCAGCCTCCCAAGCAGTTGGGACTAAAGGCGTGAGCCACTACACCTGGCTAATTTTTATGTTTTTAGTAGAGACAGGGTTTCGCCATGTTGGTCAGGCTGGTCTGAAACTCCTGACCTCAGGTGACCCGCCCACCTTGGCCTCCCAAAGTGCTGGGATGACAGGCATGAGCCACCAAGCCAGAACAAGAAAATCATTTAAAAAAATACATTATCTTTGGCTAGGCTCACAGACACAAATATATATATGAAAAAATACATTAAAATGATGATACTGAAGTCACAGAATTACAAGTGATTTTAATTTTCTTCTACACATGACTGAATTTTCTACAGTTGATATGCATTATTTTTACAATACAAAAAATCCATTGTATACCACTTCTTTAATTCTGCTTCCTCAAAAAAACACTGCATGGGGGAGGAGAAATTGATAGAGGGTTATACAGATGGTCCACAACTTACAATGTTTCGACTTAATGATTTTTCCACTTTTGATGGTGCCCATGAAACCATTCTGTTGTTCACTTTCAGTACGGTATCCCATAAATTAGATAAGATATTCAACACTTTATTGTAAAATAACTTTGTGTTAATTATTTTGCCCAACTGAAGGCTAAGGTAAACCTTCTGAGCACATGAGGTAGGGTAGGCTGGGTTACAGCGTTGTAGGTTAGGTGTATAAATGCATTTTCATCATAACAATATTTTCAACATAGAGTGGGTTTACTGACAAATTTATGGGGAAGTAACCCCATCATAAATTGAGGGGCACCTGGATATGATGGGCAGGGGCTGTTGCTTGGGACAAAGATGGGCTATGAATGAGCACCTTAGGACAGCTCTAAAAAAAACCATGCCATGACAGCAGACCATCATAGCGTCACGCAGAATAGAAATTTTCATAGACATTAAAGAGAGAATATACTTATTCAACAAACAGAGATTAAATAATATGCAGGTAGGTATCTGAGACAATATGAACAACCATTTATATTTTTAACTAAGAGAAAGATTTTTTAAATGGAGAAATTATCATGGTTTTAAAATTTTTCTTAAATTTTTCTTAAATTTAAGAACCATGATAAACCTCTTAATAAAAGAATAACCCTCCAAAGAGACTCCAAAATTTCCTTAAGTTCCCCATTTTAATTTATCCCGTATGTGAGATGAACATTTCTGTATGTTATTTGTGTTGATATTATAAAGTTCATTATTCTTATCAGTAAAGTTCAAATGTCATATCTGGCTTTATAATGCCTTTTCTAATTCGAATGGTAGATGCCAAATACATTTTGAAAGACTTTTAAATTTTTTGCTTGGTAAAATAATGCTGAGGAAAAAATGTTTTGCACAATTATTAATCTCTAATGTTAACTCCCAAAATACTCACCCAATCAAAGAAACATCAGACAAACTCAAATTGAGGGACATTCTCAAAGTAATCTGCCCCTTCAAAAATTAAAAATTTGCCTGGAGTAATTTGTTCTTGAGAAAATATTAACAAACGTAATAGGTTAAAGGAGATTAAAGAGCCATGAGAACTTACTGCCATACATGATCCTGAATTGGAAACAGGACCAAATTCTATTCATACTTGTATTTCATTCATTCTCTCATTCATTTATGATATAAAGAACATTAATTGGGACAACTGATAATACAATCGATTTAATCATTTTCGTAACTATAACACAGTTATATAAGAAAATGTCCTCCTTCTGGCCAGGCGCAGTGGCTCACGCCTGTAATCCCGGCACTTTGGGAGGCAGAGGCGGGCAGATCACGAGGTCAAGAGATCAAGACCATCCTGGCCAACATGGTGAAACCCCGTCTCTACTAAAAATACAAAAATTAGCTGTGTGTGTTGGCACGTGCCTGTAATCCCAGCTACTCGGGAGGCTAAGGCAGGAGAATTGCTTGAGCCTGGGCGAGAAGGTTGCAGTGAGCCGAGATCGAGCCACTGCACTCCAGCCTGGGCAACAGAGTGAGACTTGGTCACACACACACATACACACACACAAACAATATGGCAGCCTACACTTGATCTATTAAGTGTTAGCAAAATAAACCTAATAAGGCCCATGCTTAATTTCTAGCTCATTAAATTTCTAACTTGAGACTCTAACCTTTCTGAAGTTAGCCTATCAAGATGGCTTCTGACCTTCAAAAAAGTTCCTAAAGAATCCCCAATGTATCCCTGTGGTTTCTGTAGGGAAAGCCCACTAACTTTCTAGAATGCATTTTGAATTCTTGAAAGTTAAGCATGTGGCTGGGCGCAGTGGCTCAAACCTGTAGTCTCAGCACTTTGGAAGGCCATGGTGGGTGGATTGCTGAAGGTCAGCTCGAGACCAGCCTGGCCAACATGGCGAAACCCCGTTCTACTAAAAATACAAACAATTAGCCAGGCTTGGTGGCGCATGCCTGTAATTGCAACTACTCAAAAGGCTGAGAAAAAGAATCGCTTGAACCCAGGAGGCGGAGGCTCCAGTGAGCCGACATCAGTGAACTTTGTTAATAAAGCAAGACAAATGCATTCTACAAATAAAAACGAACAAAGACAAATATGATAAAGAACTACAAAATGGGAGAGAACACTAGTTCCGGTTAGGGTAAGCCTCATGAGATAGGTAGAAGTCAGTAGGATTAGAAGTTGGCGTCCGTATGGACAGGCAAAGAAGGTGAGAGCAGGCCGGGCGCGGTGGCTCACGCGTGTAATTCCAGCACTTTGGGAGGCCGAGGCAGGTGGATCATGAGGTCAGGAGATTGAGACCATCCTGGCTAACACGGTGAAACCCTGTCTCTACTAAAAATACAAAAAATTAGCCAGGCATGGTGGCGGGCACCTGTAGTCCCAGCTACTCAGGAGGCTGAGGCAGGAGAATAGTGTGAACCCGGGGGGTGGAGCTTGCAGTGAGCCAAGATCGCACCATTGCACTCCAGCCTGGAAGACAGAGCGAGACTCCATCTCAAACAAAAAAAAAGAAGAAGGTGGGAGCAGCCCAAGTCAGGAGAAAGTATTTGCAAAACTGGTCACTGGGCTGGGAAAGGACAGAAGTGTCCATGCAGTAGTTAATGGAAATCAATGGTACTAAACGCGTGTTCTAGGAAAGCCTATGTATCAATCCATGAGCAATGTAAAAAAAAAAAAAAAAAAAAAATCAACAAGATCTCTTCCCACTATCTTGACTAATGAGATGGCATCTAACCCTGGATTTCTTTATTACTTGTTTATTTAAAAAAAATTCAGTCATAGTTTATCAGCCTCCAACATGGAACTCATACTGTATTACCTGAAACTATATATGTAGCTTAGCTTTTTTTTTTCCCCCCTCAACATACTAAGTCACATTAAGGAGAAATAAAATCTGCCCTGCAGATTCTGGTGTCAGACAACCTGAGTTTATGGCTGGCTCCAAGATTTGGAGTGTCCTAAGGTTAATTCTTTGTTCCTCCCCTTTCAATAGGATAATATCACCAACTAAGTCAAGCTTGTCCAACCTGAGATCTGTGGGCCGCATGTGGTCCAGGATGGCTTTGAATGTGGCCCAACACAAATTCCTACCTAAGCTTTCTGAAAACATTATGAGATTTTTGTGATTTATTTATTTATTTGTTTATTTATTTATTTATTTATTTATTTATTTATTGGCTTATCTGCTATCGTTAGTGTTAGTGTATTTTATGTGTGGCCCAAGACAATTCTTCTTCCAGTGTGGCCCAGGGAAGCCAAGATATTGGACGTGCCTGAACTAAGTCATGGACATTGTAAAGATTAAATAAGATAATCCACATAAAGAGTTTCACACAATAACTGATGAATAAATGCCAGTCATAGATAGGACTGCAACGTTATAAGCAATGTTAAGCATTAGAGGTGAAAGAAACTGTCTTCTATTTTTTGTAAGCCTGTATAAATCACATATAGTTCCTGACAGAAGTAATATATCTCCTGCAGGAAAAGAAAAAGAATCATAACTGTATGCACAGTTACCATTCCTGTGGTTTAAAGTTGATATACCATGGTTTGCTCCAAAATCAACCCTGAGAAAGCCCAAAATGAAAGTGAGCATTGGACTTGGATTTGTGGTGAAATCATTAGTGCTCCCCTCCTCCCCATTTCTAGGCATTGACAAAATAGATAATCAAAGATTTCACAGACCTAGAACCTAAAACAAGTCATTAAGAAACACTAATAAAAAGAGCAAAAGCCTATCACGGAGTTTTCCTTGAGCAATACTATGTGCCAAGAACTAGCAATATTCAAAAAGCCTAAAACAGATCCTTGGCCATCAAAAGGTAGAAAGGCAGAGACTGTGCCCCTGTCAATTTCTTAAATTATCATGTTAATATTAAGCCTTTTACAACTCAAAATGATACCGCATACCTGGAGCACAAAGAGAGGCACAGATGTGAGAGCACGCATAAAAAATTAAGAAACAAATAATATTTCAAACTAAACTATACTTTTAACTTTGTTTGGGAAACTCGTATTAGAAAAAAAAGTCCAAGCGTAACTAGAAGTCAGACACATGTAAAAGTATATATGACTTCCTTTTTTAAGGTGACTCCCAGTCACCATGTCATGCTACCATAAACACACAGGTTGTGAACTGAAATGCAGCTTGCATTTCTTAACAGAATACCACATCAAAAGATGCTTCTTTCCCTCTGGTGACTGAGGAATTCACAGCCGATCATCAGTTTCCTCAACACGACTGACTACATGTTTTTTATTGTTGTTTATTTTTAACTTTTTGGTAGAGATGAGGTCTCGCTGTGTTGCCCAGACTGGTCTTAATCTCCTGGGCTCAAGTGATCCTCCCAAAGTGCTAGGATTACAGGTGTGAGCCACTGCACCTGGCCCTGACTACATGTTTCGAAAGAACATCCCTATCTTTACTACTTAAAGCATCATTTTCCATCTCAGATTGTCTCAGACATTAATAGATGGAGTTTGTGTGCAAAGTCATTGAGTTTTCCAAAATATTCTATGATACTTATCCTAAACCATAAAGGAATAGCTCTTCCCCTAAGGATCACATTGTAAATACTTCCTCCTTTTGCATTTATTCTATAACTATTTCATGGTACAGATACAAATGGGGTGTGTGTGTGTGTGTGTGTGTGTGTGTGTGTGTGTGTGTAAATGACTGTGGATCTATTTTGTTTTATAGATCTTTTCCATTTATTTTGAGATATGGTGAGAAAAAGCTAACTTTTCTAAATAAATGGGCAATTGTTATAAACACTACGTAAACTATCCTTTTAAAGCTACTAATTTGAAGTGCCATCTTTAACACACATGCACATACCTATGCACATCATGTCAGTTTCTGTAACCCTTAATCTGTTTAAATGATCTATTTGTTTAACCCTATAACAATGCCATGCTGTTTTAGGTATTGTAGCTTTATATTATATATACTCTGCCACAATTATTGTCTTTTCAAAGAGTAGTATAAATTGCTATTGTACCCCATTTTATTATTTAGAATCAATTTGTCCAATTTCCCCTTATCTAACCTACCCCAACACATAAATATCAGTGTGATTTTGATTAGATATAATTGCCCTATTTATTTTATAAGCCAAAAATTAAAGCTAGGAATTGTCTACAACACACACTTATTAATGTGGAATATTCTCAAGGTTGTTTACTGATTTTCCTCCAAGATGTAATTTGTCACCTGTTTTTAGAATTGTGGAATATTTATAGGAGGATCACTTGAGCTCAGGAGGTCAAGGCTGCAGTGAGCCATGAAATATGGTGAGATTCTAGACTCAAAAAAAAAAAAAAAAAAAAAAAAAAAAAAAAAAAAAAAAAAAAAACAACGAAGGAATATTTGAAAAATAACATTAGTTCAAAGTTGCCTGTTTATAAAGCTGTACAGAAAATGAAACCTGTTTATTATGTTATTTAAATTCATTATATTTTTTCTTTAGTCAACAATGTAAAAATTTTTGGAAAGGGACATATTGACATTACCTACTATGGAAATGACTTTGCTAAATTTTCCATTTACGATAGTTTGAGAATGAATGTTTTTGTGCTATGTTGTTTGATGTAAAAAGGAAAAAAGATCCTGATTGTTAGAATTTCTACCATGTCAATATAAAATGCCCTTTTTACTCCCATATAGCGCATCATCACAGAGACTGATAGAGCAATCCTTCCTTTTATTGTGTTAGTTCTGCCTGCTGGAACTAAGCTTACTCTTTTATCCCCAGTCTGTCTCAGGACTTGTTTTCTTAACAGGATGCAACTATGTTTGCATTTTAATGTGAGCTGTGAGTCCTTAACTTTTGTTAAATTATCTCTTTTATAGTTATTCTAACAACTATGCTTAGCCTAATACTGACACGTCACTTTAATTTTCCTGTGTATACTTTTTTTACTGTATTCTCTTAGCCCTCCCTTTTTTTCCATGATTGAATCAAGTTTTTTAACTTTTCTTTCCATTTTGTGGCCACTTATAATTTAGCATTTCACAACTCATGAAATACTTTGCATATATGCCAAACAACTAAGCTTTGGTCCTCACTTTGCAAGTGAATAGGAAGTCTCTCTCTTTTTTGCGTCTATCTGACCAAAATTAATCACAAAATATACTCCATTTGGGGTGGTAACAGTAAGTCACCTTAAAATAAGACCACTTTGGCATTTAATAAACCCATGTATTAAATATTACGAGCCAGGAAAAGGCAGGACAAGTAACTTCGTATTAAATTAGTAAGAAGTTAGTTCCATGTATCTTTCCAACATCTCTGCATCCTTCAAAAGACAAAGCTCTTACCGTTTCTTTTGGAATCTGCATCTGGCTTGGCTCTGCATTCTAGAAGAATTGAAGAAAAACATAAATACAGACTGACCAAAGCCATCTTCAACACACAGGGACACAATGATTTATTTTAAAGAAAATTTTGTTGATTCTTAAAATCCACAAAATATATAAAGGGTAATTATATGATGGCTGACATAATGCTCTGTCTTCCAAAATTTTGCTGATGTGTGTGTTTATGTGTGTGTTTTAAGAAATTTTTCTAGATATACATTTTTACTTGCTCATTCACAGTACATCATGAATTTATTATCTGGAGGAAAACAAGTCTCACCAAACTGCTTTCCTAATCATGGCACTGTTTCTAATTTTGCTTTAAAATTTTCCCAATCAAATCAAAGTTTTAAGGTATAGAATCATTTGATAACTAGACCAGATAATAACAGTTTGAACCACAGTCTGAACCACAGCTTTATACTTTAAAATGTTGCACAGGAAATAAACATGATTTTTTTTTCCTATAATGTTGATTTGCCTTAATTACCTAGGAACTTACAAGGATGATTTATTAAAAAAAGGCACCGATTGATAAAAGTATTTAGATTTAGACACACAGAATTTAAACACAGACACCCCAAACAGAGGAAAATAGTTACGTCTACTGGATTCAAGATTATTTTTAAATGTCCCCTCCCTTTAAATTTTCAGGATTTTATTCTCTTAAATTTTGAGAAGCAGCTGCAACATGCATAATAGACTGACGGCCTACTGGCGTACTCCTTAATGAAAAGCTCACAAGCAATAAATTACATAACCAAGAAAAAAAAAAAGTAGGTAGCAGAAGGGAAAAACAGAAGCCTGGAAGATCAAAATTGGACAAGAAGAACCTGAATAACCTTAAGCTGGCTATATGCTGGCACTAACTCTGGAAAAGGCTGCTTAAGAGCAGTGTCTAAGCTTTGGCAATCTAATAATGCTAACTAGTGCACTCCGAGACACTGAGGAAGAATTAAAGCTTCGGCAAATCACATGGAAAGCTAGTTGTTTTTTTTTTTTAAGTGCTCATTTACAATTTAATAGAGACATCTCCAGATTTAGGATCAGGTGGCATTTTAAGCACAAAATTGGATAACAGTGGGGGGAAAACGAAAAACTGAATTTAAATTGAGAAATAATGCATTAAACATTTTTAAATATAAAGAAGTTTTCATAATTTATTCAAAATCTACTTAAAACAAAAGTGTTCACTTTTCAACCCTATCACTGTCTGAAATTTCCACAAAATCCACATTAAGTTTTAAGACCTGTGTGTAACCAGGGGATAAGATATTATGACTAAAATTTTTTCATTTATAATATTTATAGAAATAGTTTATATAGAGAATAAAATATAGTTATTTTTATCATAACACATCCATACTTGAAGACACAAGAGAATTTGGGCTATATGATAAATTTGGAAACCTCGTTTCTAAAACCTTGTCACTCTAGATTATACAAATTAATTTTTGTTTAGCACTAAGAGCTAGATGAAAAGGATGTATTCCAAAATGATCCAAGTAGAATCTGTTTTGAAATATTTAAAATACCACTTGTACTTGAAATAAAACAATTTTCTTACCACATCAAAAGACAAAGGCAACTCCTCCAATTATGTCATTTTTATATATAAATGAAACCTAGCACTTTTGCAGAAAACCACTCAGAACTATGTACATTTAAGACACTTATTTCATTCACACCAATACCATGTAAATACTCAGATGTATTAATGTATGTATGGAAAGTGAAGGAGATAGGTTGCAAAAGTTGTAAATGCCTTTTCATTTCCTTCATTTATGTCATCCTAAGTAACATGACCTATATTTGTATAATTAATAGCCATGAGGCTTATTGCCACTTAGGTCTTTTTATTTTTAATAATAATTTTTTTAAAAAGGTATTCCTTTTCATACAACAGTAAGGAAGCAAGCATCTATTTGGCTTACTGACATGTACTATGAAAATGTGAAATATGAAAATTTGTCATATGCAGTGTGGAAGATGGCAAGCTTTCAGCGACAGTCTGTGGAGTGACAGTTCTGAAATAATCGGCGTCTCTGTATTCAGTCAGTCCATCTGAGGGTGTACAGTGATGAACATTTGATGCCCTTGAAAATATCCCTACAGTCTGATGTTTAAGTACCCCTCCATTCATTACTGAGGATATCCATTTCTGAAACTAAGGGAGTATTAGAGAAAAGAATGTTTGTATTCAGTGAGGGCTGAAAGAAATATAAGATCTAGAAACTCCTCAGAAAATGTCTCAATAAACATTTGCCATCAGGCAACTAACCCAGACCCCTGGCTGCTGCATATCAGAAATCTTTCATCTACTCTAAATTTACACACCAGTTCCCTTGGGTGGAAGGCGTCTTCCTGGCGAAAGACCAGAAGGCTCACAGTTCCTTCCATCTTGGTGCTTCTCAACAGCGAAACAACTTCCTCTTGGGATTTGCCCACTAAATCTACTCCATTTACCTAAAACAAAACAAAAGTTTTCAGCTGTAATCCTGTGGAAACAACAGGAAAACACACACACACACACACACACACACACACACACACACACACTCTAGGACTAGCCATATCTGCTATGGAACATAACTCATTTCATGCACAATTCTGCCATGATCTGGGAACCACTAAGGTTTTGTGACTAATAAAGAAACTAAGACCAGATATCTAGAAGAGAGGAAGTGGTCAATCTTTTAGTGTTCATCATTAAACCCAAAGTGACAATCACCAGGGCATTGACAAGTACCAAGCAATAAATATTTCAAAAATGTCAAGTTAACACAAAACTTACTGGCTTAGAACAGAGATATTTTGATAGCCTTGTGCATCATAGGTTTTCTTACACCAAAATAAAAAGGTGTTGCTCTTATAAAGGGTAATAAAAACACACCAAAAATATTTTGGTACAGTATTTTCACTTTAAATGAAATTTTACTGATAAATATAAATAAAACACTTTACCTCTAAAAGGTAAACATTAAAGAAACTACAAAACAATATTTTTTAGCAGGGAAGCAATATTTCAGCTGAAATTTTTTCAATGTTATGAGAGAATTCAAGCAGGAAAAAAATTTAAAACAACTTGTTCTTAGGGAATCTTTTATCTAACAGGAAGTATAACATCATTATCAGAAAGCACTATATACTCCACAGAAATGAGAGCATATGTTTCCTTTAAAAGGTATTCTACATTTTTCTTTTTAGACAAAAAAGACATTTTGTCCAAGGCAAATAAGTTTATAACTTAAATTACAGTATCAAAATTTTCCTGTAGTTAAAATATATTTCAGAACATTTCCCCTTCTGAAAAAAATCAACCTCATATACCTCAAGGTACTACTATTAAGGAATTGCAGACAGAAGGACTGAATTCAAGTTCCAGTGGAGACTCTTACAAAATAAAACAAGCTACGACTGCACACATGGGCTAATATACCACTCAATTTATACCCCAAGGACAAGCGGCCTTTTCAGGAAGCAGAACCCTAAACATAATTTGTACTCAAACAAAAGAAAGTGAAAAAAAATCTAGACAATTAAGTCACTTGATCCTTTTTTCTTTGTATGATTCTAATTATCTAGACACTCAGAGAAAATGCACGTAAGTATCAATATTGTATAGCTACAACTGTAGATACTAGAAGGTTGGGCTTAAAGCATGCAAAAATGAAGTTTCCATTTTAAGACAAAGATGACAGCTATGGAAATAAAGCCTAACTCGAAAGACATGCAGGTTGCAGGTCTTTCTCACTGCTTTAAAATAAAAAGGTTTTTCTGATATGTTGAAAGTAAAGCGATTATGTGATAAAAGAAAAAAGTGACTCAATAATAAAGCAATTATCTTTAGAAAGAAAGACGGAGAGAGCCAGAAAAGGACAGATATTTTTTTGGACTCAGAAGACAGGAGGACTGAATTCAAGTCCCAGCAGAGACTCTTACAAATAAAACAAGCTACGACTGCAGACGTGGGCTAACGTACCACTCAATTTATAACCCCAGGACAAGTGGCTTTTTCAGGAAGCAGGACCCTAACATAATTTGTACTCAAACATCTGTTATTTAGCTTCTAACAGTGCCTATTTAACATACGTTGTCACATGCACAGGACCAAAACAGTGGGAATAAAATTTAAGGGATCTAGGCTCCAAATGTAGACATGGAAAAAAATACAGACGGTATCCCTCTCCTCCCCTACTTTACAAAAATTCTTTAGGAGAACTCAATCTGGAGAGATAGAAACCATATATGAAACTATAAGAAAAAAGGATAGTGTGGTAAAAGTTTACCTTAGCATTAATATTTGAATACTAGTTAATTAGGAAATGCAGTATCTGCTAATAAAAATACAGACTATATTTTCTTTAAAAAAAACTAAGAAAAATGGTTTAAAACATATTTTTCAATTTTCTCTTTTATGTGCAAACCATCACACAAACACAAATTATGTATGTTAATCTATTTCCAAGGCAGCTTCAAATACCAATGAACCCAAACTCATAAGACATAGAAAAAAAATTCAAAAACGATTTTTCTTTTCTTTCCTGACATTTGACTCTTATGACTCAATTTATTCTCCATGCTGCCATTTCAAGATTTCCTTGCTCCTCTTATCAAGGAACACTGTTTTCATTTATTTCATCTGTCTCTGTTCTGAATACATTTCCACATTGCCAGACATAAATATAAAGCCATTTAGAAACGTAACCTTACAGACATTTTATATGACAAAATGTTACCTCATAAACCAAATGTCTGAGTAACTAAAAATTTATAACTAAACTAAATGGGGCTGGGCATGAGGGCTAACGTCTGTAATCCCAGCATTTTGGGAGGCCAAGGCAGGAGTTCAAGGCCAGCCTGGCCAATGTGGTGAAACCCTGTCTCTATGAAAAATACAAAAATTAGCCAGGCATGGTGGTGCACGCCTGTAGTCCCAGCTACCAGGGGGGCTGAGGCAGGAGAATCACTTGAACCCAGAAGGTGGAGGCTGCAGTAAGCTGAGATTGTGCCACTGCACTCCAGCCTGGGCGACAGAGCGAGACTCCATCTCATAAAAAAAAATAAATAAATAAATGGAAAGATAATTTCTCATCAGATAACATGGAAAAAAGAGCTGGGCACGATGGCTCACACCTGTAATCCCAGCACACTGGGAGGCAAGAGGATCGCCTGAGGCCAGCAATTCAAGACCAGCTGGGGCAACATAGCAAGACTCTGCCTCTACAAAAATTTTAACAATTAAAAAAATATATATAAAAAATAACATGGAAAATCTAAACATAAAACAGAAACACATTTTGTGACGCATACTTCCGCTAAAATGTATATAACTGAATTTCATATTTTATGAAAATGTTTTTAAAAGTTGGCTCCTGGAAATGGAACATTTCAAGAATCAGGGAACATCCTGCTGGGGAAGTCACTTACCTCTATAAGTCTGTCTCCTGCCTTAAGTCGGCCATCCTGAATGGCCGCCCCCCGGGGGAGAATGTTTTTCACATAGATTGGAGCTGAGCCACCTATTGTTACATCTCTGGAAGTGATGCTGAATCCCAAACCTTCTGTACCTAGGTATGTGAAGGAGAAGAAAAGTAAATAAAATGAGATATCTTGAATTTTACAGGTGTATTGCACCAGTATACTCAACCTCAACTTGACATTTTGTAACTTTCACAATGGTCCACATTTCTTCTACTACTTTAAAAGTTGTAATAAATTTTTCAAAATAGACTAAATTGTGGAAGGTTTAAATGGTTTACATATCAACAGTTATTAATCTAAGAAGAAACAGCAATCTTCTCAAAGACAGATGAAAGTTAATATGTAAATATGACTGCTAAAAGTTTTTAAATCAATGTAAATCTTTGAATAGGAAATTCACTACATGAAGAAAGAAAAAAACTTCTGTTAAGACCCACAGTACCTCAAAACTCAAGTATTATTGTGCAATAATGACATCCAAATTTTAAGGGTAGGAGGTATGAGCAAGGGAAACAAAAATGTCCAGGGAGATGGAAAAGAACAGTGAAATGAGAGGTATCTCTAGATAGAGGTAATGGAACCTCCCAAAATCATAATTATTCAAAGCAGTTTACTAAGAGGATAAACCATAAACCAAATTATCTTTGCCTAGTTCACTTCTAATTCACCTAAATCTTACCATGTATATTTCCTTCACCACCCCCCACTCCCAAACAAGGCAAATTACTCAGTGAAGACTCCATCTCAGATCATGGCTACCAAATCTGGGGATCATATTATGCTTAAAGGTACTAAATTAATGATGCATTTATAAATTACTCTGATGATTCACAGAATTTAAATTCTCATTTCTTTGGCAGCTTTCTTGACAGACAGTCTTACATGCTCAATACAAAGCAGAAAAGTGTTTATATGTCACTAGAATCAAGACGCAAGAAGCCAACACGTGCCCAGGAAAAACTGGGGAGATAATGATACATTTGTAATGAATCACAACATTTTTACAATAATGATTTCTACCTAAGCTTTTTTAAAAAGTTACTTCTTAAGATATTAGTTTCCATTTCAGTTAAAATATTGTTAAGGCAAATGCTTGCTCATTATGGGAAGAATAAAGAGATCTGTAAAGGTGAAAAATCTAGAAAAGAGCACATTAATCTGATACATCACTCAGTATAAAACTGTAATGAAAAGTATAAAATATAAGTGAACAAAAAAGGGTGAATAAAAATGTAGATTAAAGAAACATTAAAGGAGAAATAAAGAAAACACTCCATAGTTATTCCTGTAGCAAAACCTACCATAGTTATTCTCAACATCAAACAAAGCATTCATTTACTTTAGTCTGAAGTCACTTTAGGGTGCTTGGACTATTAATATTTCTGATGTCTTCCATGCTGAACACCTGAATGGCATACTGTCTATATGAAATGTTTGTTATTGCTCTGGGGAGATTTTTCCATATGTCTCTGCTTTCATGAAACTCTAATGACTTGCAATAACATTTATTAAGAAAGAATTCTTAATTACTCTCCTTTTGCAATACTAACTTTTTTGAACTATGAATGCTGACTGTTGTAGGAACCTCAATACTATTAAAATATCAGCAACAACCCCTAAATCTGTAAGCTAAAAGTTCAGGCAATGACCTTTCAAGGAAAGATAAGTAGATATCAATTTTCATTTAACAAAGCCAACAAAACATTCTGCACTGACTGAAACAGATTACTGACCTTCTCCTCTGACTTTATTAAAAAGCTAATTTCTACAAAAGAGCTGGGTATTTGAGAATACCAAAATGGCAATAAATATTAAGAAATCATAATTATGGAAGCAAGTACACTGAGGCTATTCTGTTGTCATGTTATATAACATAGCTCCAAAATTAGGCCAAAGAATAATTATACTGACATCTTTTTTTGTACTAAGAGTTGATTCCAGTTTTTGAAGAACTGCTGCCACTCAAAGCACATTAGCTCACTTTGAACTGAATCTGAAGTTTAACACTGACACACCCTATGTTTTTAATGTACTTCACTAATAAATGTAATAACTTGTAAGAAAAAAATCTGCTAGCTACAAGGAAAGCCTGTTCAATTCTCCTACATTCATTATTATTAAAATATATGCATTTAGTCCTAATCAAAGATAATCAGCATTCTTCCCCACATTTATAGTAAACATAATTTTTATATAAAATATTTGTAAGTATTGGCAGCATGCACAAGCAGCATGTGCTTTTTGTCATACATTCTCACAGTTGGTAAATTAAAATCAAGATAGATCTATGGGACTCTATATCATTAAGATTACTCAAGGTCTGAAAAACACTTAAAACCATTGTTTCTCCTTTCAGTGATTAAGCATAGTCTTTCTAAATTAGCTTGTGTAAATGCAATCATATTTTTCATTAAATGCTATTAAAATAATATCTGTATTCAAAACAATGGTACCAGTTTTGTAAGTAAAATGTATCAATTTGATTTATTTATCACTTCAGACTTACTATAACATAAAAATTAGATATACTCATTATTTTCCTTTTTTTGGAGAATCTGTATTCTGTTTAATACTTTACCTTTATCTTCTCACTTCAGATTTCCTTTGTATTTCTCATTCTTTCATTAGCAAAACAATGGTACTTTTAATGGCAAATCACCTCATTTAAAAAGTTCATGTTATATCATGATTTGTCAAATATCCTAATTTTTGAAAAACCATAATTAACTAAATGAATATTGCTGTATCAGTGTAAAAAGGAAAAGATATTTATGAACCAGTATCTTTATGACAATGGTGAAGCAAAATACTGTACCTTTGTTTAGAGATATCAAGCAGAATTTTATTTTTTATACGATTCTATTTGTAGTTCTTGATATGTTTTTGGTTAAAAACAAGGGCCTGTCATTTAAGTAGAGCAAAAGGAGGAAAGAGGATGTGATATTTCTCTCATTTAGGAATTGACAGAGCTAAAGGGGTTTCTGTTGATATGACTCTGTGTTTGCAACGAGGCAAGCTGTCAACTCCTGATCATGTCAACCAAGTATTTAGAGCTTAAAAACCAGTAACCAGAAATAAGAAACTTGAGGTTCACATAAAGTTCACTGAAAGAATATGAGTTAGAAAGGAAACAGCAGTCTCAGAGTTTACAACCTTGTAAATGCTACCCCAAATGTAAAGAAGAATGGTCTGAATATCCGGATATGGAAAACATACTAGTAAGAATCTGTGGCCAACAGCCACATGACCTGAGGAAATAATGAACCTCTCTTGGAATCATTTCCATCCAACTATAAGAGTTGATGGTTGAGCCTATAAAAAAAAATATTCTTTATAATAATACCATTTTGAAAGACATGATTTAAAAATATATCAAAATGCTCAGCTAAAATGGATCAGGAACAGTAAAAGTGTATCTTGGTGCCTGGACGAAACATTGGGTGAAAATCATAAAGTCAAGTCCAATAGTTTGCACTCAACTTTGAAGGAGGCAAACTGCAAGAACATGCTCTCTATACAGAGATCCACTGTATACAGGAAGGGTACTAAAATACATAATGGATGGAAGATGTATGAAGAATCGGCAATCGACATCATGACTTCCACATCACCATAAGAAAGAGAAGCAGGCCTGGACATGGTGGCTCACTTCCATAATCCCAGCACTTTGGGAAGCCGAGGTAGAAGGACTACTTGAGGCCAGGAGTTCCAGATCAACCTGGGCAACATGGCAAGACTCCAACACAACAAAAAATTTGTAAATGAGATGGGCATGGCGGCATGTGCCTCTAGTCACAGCACTTGGAAGGCTGACATGGGGTGTTGCGGGCTACGGTGAGCTATGACTGCACCACTGCACTGTAGCCTGGGCAACAAAGAAAGGCCCTGTCTCAAAAAAAAAAAAAAAAAAAAAAAAAAAAAGAAAGAAAAAGAAAAGAGAGGAAAAGAAAAGAAAAAAAAGAAAGGGAAGTAATGCAATAATACAAGAAAACAAAAGACAAGAGTCAATGGCCTGGCTTCTCAGCAACCTACTATAAACTCCTGGCAGCCTCAAACAAATTGGTCCCTCCCCACATCAAATACTGAGATTGACGTGCACTACCTCTAAAGTCCTCCTTGAGGGCTGGACTTATACAGCAAATGGGGCAGTCAAAATGGTCAAATCCTTACTATTGTTCTGCATTTGATATTAATGTCCTGAAGCCATTTTCTTTCACAATCAAAAATTTTACTACAGTAACTGCTATCTTCTTCTCATAGACATAGTCTTATTCTCTGCACTTTTACATTTTAATTTCTACAGAGCAAAATAAACCTGAGACATATAAGAAATACAATTTGAAATATGTTAAAAGGTAAGTAACTTTAAAAAATCTATCAGTTCTTTCACAAAATAATTAGATAAGACTCAGGGTGCTTTGGGTTAGTAGGTTGACTTTTAAAATAAATTCCATTTCTACCCTTGTGTGTTGCTGCTAAGAAAAGAAATTCCACAAAACAAAAACAGGATAGGTCGTACCTTTCTTAAGCTGGATATTAAGCCTCTTGCCTATTTTTTTGGTGTTATAACCACTGCTTACAGTCGTACTAAATACATTCTGAGGTGCCGAGGCTGGAGCGGATGGTGGTTTTCCCGAGGGGTGTGCGCTATGAGGTAGTCTTGAGTGAGAGTCTATCTGCTCAGGCGGGTGGTTCAGTCGGGGTGCTCTCTGCACCGTGTGAAGCCCTGCACTGTTCACACTCCTGTTGTCAATATACTGGCTGTCAGGGCTAAAACGGCTTGAATAGTAATTGTTCTTCTCACTTTGGGATAGTTGTTCATACTGCTCTTTATTTGCTGCAGGAACCACATGGAACCAAATGATGGGTGTACGCATGGCTTGGCGAAACATATGTTGTGCTCTGGGTTTGAGAAAGAATAGAAAATTAGCAAATTAAGACTGGCAGACTAGAAGATATTATGAGCTTAATTAAGTTTACTAATTAAGCAATAAGAACTGACAGGCTGTTGAAATTGAAAAGCAAAATTCTAATAACCCATTTATCAATCAAGTTTGCAGCTCTGATCTATCAATAGCTGTTTCTTCAAATATAAATTTCTCATTCTCTCAATAAAAATAGAAAAATTATCTACAACTACAGATAAAATTCTGTCCTCTCAACTGTAAATCATTAAACATGTTTTAAGTATAACAAGTATTATAATTTCAATAATAGAAACCAAATGGAACATTCTCTCTACAACATTGTCTAATACAACTTGTAGACATTACAAAATACTTCAATTTAAGTTTTCAAAGAAAGACAGAGCTTTATAATTATATTTAGAATATTGGATTGGGTTAGATGTGTATTTAAAATTTTTAAAATACACACACACACACACACACACTTAGAAGACTATAGAAAGTAACTATTAATTATTTATTAAGTTGGTATATGTAAAAATCTCAAGAACAGCAATCCAGGCTCAATAATTCAAAATGTTGACAGCTGTGGGTCACAGTGCACCCATACAACCAGCCTGGGAAGCAGCTCTTTCTCATGCTGGTTCCCTGGTCAGGACCTCAAGTTCTTAAGAGTTCTGTTTGCTCCTGCCTTGTTTTATAAGAACTGGCCAACTGTTATGTTTTTCATTGACTAAGGGCCTGAATCAAGATAAAGTGTATCTGAATACAACCCAATATTGTATCTGAATACAACCCAAGATAAAGTGTATCTGAATACAACCTCAAGCAGATACAAACAGCTTTATCTGCTTGTTTGTATCTAGAGAAACTGTGTGCAGCAAAGGTGGACGGGTGAGTTAAAGTATGATAAAAATGGGCACACTGTCAATTTTCCAAAAGGAGAGGAACCAGCAAAATTGTAAAGTTGAAATGGGGGCCATAATACTTAAGAAGAGCTATATCCATCAGAGGACATTTTGAAATATAGTCTAATGGTATTAATTACTGAGTATGTTTAAATTTTTAAAAGCTAATGGCAGAAAATATTCCTCTCCAGTATACAGACTGAGATCACAGACATGTTTGAAGCATTTCAACTGACTGCACTCTGTCATGCCTAATGCAAGTAAGAACAGAAGTGCAGCGAGCACACACTTACTGTTCAAATCTTCTATTTCGAAGGTCGCCATCATTAATCCTGACAATGCAATCATTCTCACGAAAAAGATTTTCATGTTCAGCTTTACCACCTTTCTCCAATCGTTTTACTAATAACCCCAGGGTTCTGGAACATTAAGAATGCAAATGATTACACATGTAATATCTCCACCATGCACACTGCCTTACCACTTTAATGCTGTTATTATATTTACAAAGATGTCCTTACAAAGGAGCATGTTAAAATGACTATTCATACATTTTTAAATGACAGACAAAAACCACAACGTTAAAATGACATGTAAAAATGCATCCCTTCCATAAATGTAAAAAATCAGTTTCTGGCTGGTCAGTATTATGTTTCTAGAACAAGCTATAACACTCTCTCTGTTTACAAATGCCCCAAACAGAGCCCGCCTAATGGTTGAGTGGGTATTGCAGTGTGGAGGATGGATAAGCATGTATTTTTGAATGGCTTGGGCAATTTTCTGTTTTAAGCCAGCTGGCACGCTAGCTTAAAAGACGACTGCAACTCCCATCTTTCTGTGAAAGTAAAGGTAATGAGGAAAAGCTAACCTCATTGCACTGCAGGTTTGAGAATGATAATAGGAAAGATTTCAGGAATAAAGGAGTTTCCATGCTTTGCATTTGAATTTGATAGTGCTTAGTATTGTGAATTTCAAAACCTGTCAGGTCTCCCAAAAGTAAGTCATTTATTGTCAATATTCCCATTTGGAAAAACAAATGACCCAACAGAAAAACGTCAGTGAGAGGTTCAAATAATGCCAATCACCATTCATCTCTTCCACATATGTACTCACTCAGGTTGAAAGAAAAGTGTGAATGACCTTTGAGAGACCCCCTACTTGCTCTAGAACACTAACTTCATAACTGACAGGACATTCTATACAGACTGGGACAAATAAGAAATACTTCTTTAAATCACAGTATAAGCAACAGGGGTCTTAACCTAGCTCTGATTGCTGTTATTTTTATTTTTTTAGTCTTATTTTATTCTTTTTTGAGATGGAGTTTCGTTCTTGTCGTCCAGGCTGTAGTGCAATAGCATGATCTTGGTTCATTGCAACCTCCACCACCTGGGTTCAAGCGATTCTCCTGCCTCAGCCTCCTGAGTAGCTGGGATCACAGGCATGCGCCACCATGCCCAGCTAATTTTTTTGTATTTTTAGTAGAGCTGGGGTTTCACCATGTTGGCTAGGCTGGTCTCAAACTCCTGACCTCAGGTAATCCACCCGCCTCAGCCTCCCAAAGTGCTGGGATTACAGGCATGAGCCACTGTTAATTACTTGATGGCTGGCATAAATTTTGTATCATGATATTAAAATTTTTATATGAACTTAGTCTTTTTACTTCCAAAATTTGTATTTTCTTTCATAATCCTAATAAAGAGACAAAAATGCCTACACAGGCACTAAAATTGAGAATCCAGTATAAATTAAAATTGAAGACACCCTAATTTTCAAATAATGTCTAAATGATTTCCAAGAGAATTACAACTTGCAGTCATCTGTGTATGTTTTCCAGTAGAAATATACCAAAATAGATAGCTGCTGCTTCTATACTTTTCCAGTAATTGTTGTATCTGTTCCATGGGCATTTATCATATTCTTCTCTTATATACATACCTTATCTCTATTAGTGGACTATAAGCTCCTAGCAGACAGAGAACATAAGATTCAGCAGTTCAAGCACTGAACTAGTAGTAAGGTCTTGATAAATGACAACTGAATGAAGGCATGATTGAGGTTAGCTGAGGCAAACAAGTCTATTTCTATAAGCTTTTTGCAAAATAGAATACAAGTGAATAGAATTTAGATTCAGATTCTTTCTTCATGAAAGTATCATTTCTACTAAAGATATGATGAAACTGAAATAAATTAAACTCAGACAAAAGTCCTATTTCACTTGTAATTTTGCAGTTTAACATTTTTACGATATTAGTAAGGTCAACGATTAATTTCATTCTAACTTTTATTAATAAATATAATAAGGTGGCATTATACTAGAGTGAAGCCTATCAGCTTGCAAGAATTGTAATTTTAGCGTTGAGAATCAGCACCTACTAGTGTATGAGTCTAAAAATATTAGTGACTAGTAAAAACAATATTATGTAGATAATATTTAGTTACTTATTATCATTTATTGCAGCTATATAAAGACATAAAATTATCTCAACTCAAAGGTAAGAATAAAGTACACTGATTTATCTTCAGGAGCAACTTAACTCTCAGTTCATATTTGGGAGAAAGAGATTCCATAATATGCCAAACCAAAAATGAAGTTATTGTTTAAATGTGATCATGTCCATAATTTATCTCCCTAGGATTCCCTATTGTTTGTTTCTATCTGCAACTGAACAAAGTGTTCTATCATAGGAATCAAAGGAATTATTGGCTGGGCACAGTGGTTCACGCCTGTAATCCCAGCACTTTGGAAGGCTGAGGCAGGCAGATCACCTGAGGTCAGGAGTTCAATACCAGACTGACCAATATGGAGAAACCCCCTCTCTACTAAAAGTATAAAATTAGCTTGGCATGGTGGCGGGCACCTGTAATCCCAGCTACTTGGGAGGCTGAGGCAGGAGAATCGCTTGAACCCAGGAGGCAGAGGTTGCGGTGAGCCGAGATCGCGCCACTGCACTCCAGCCTGGGCAACGCAAAACTCCGTCCAAAAAAAAAAAAAAAAGAATTATTAAGATATATCTATGATTCCGATGAATGAGGAAGATTAATACAAGAAATTAAATTAAATCACAGTTACTGGTACCACTAGAACATGCAGAAGATATCTGACCACTTCAGTTTCAAAGAACATCTTGAAGGAAACGATGTCTCAGTCACCCACAGGTAATCATAACAGAACCACATGTGAGGTGCCACAGCTGTAGTTAAAAGCCACCACTATAAACCAGACACACTTTGGAATGTGTATGCTTTCAGTCCTTGCAATAAAAATATGCCCTACCAAGACTCACTCCAGTTAATGAGTTTTTAATTGGTGAAATCATAAGCGATTTCCCAATATGACTACAATATTACTGCAAATGTAAGTGACTAACAATTAGTATGTTTTTATGTATTATATTTTGTGTAATCTAAAATAGTCCATAGAAAATTTTTACAAAAAATATATATATAAACGGTCTTCAATGGAAATTACTTAGCAGTTAATTAGCACCGATCATTTATTTAAATTTATGAAACTATCTTGGATACATCCTTTCAGTATTTATGACAACTTAAAACAGTGTAACTTATAAATCCTTTCACTTTAATTTTTTTTGAGACAGAATCTTGCTCTGTCACCCAGGCTGGAGGTATACTGGGCTCAATCACAGCTCCCTGCAAGCTCAAACCCCGGGGCTCAAGCAATCCTCCTGCCTCAGCCTCCTGAGTAGCTGGGATTAGAGGTGTGTGCCACGACCCCTGGCTAGTTTGTTTGTTTGTTTTGTAGACTTGGGTTCTTACTATGTTGCCCAGGCTGGTCTTGAACTCCTGGACTTGGCCTCCCAAAAGTATTGGGATTACAGGCTTGAGCCACTGTGCCAGCTGAAATCTGCTCTTTAATTCTAGAAGTAACATCAATAATTTTTTTCAGATAAGTAGATGAACAGATTTATATTCATCTCATAATTTTTCAGTTTTAAACCTATGTGTTTTTTTTCTGGTAATCATTCTAGACTAATAATCCAAAGTAGAAAAGCATGTAATGTTCCATTTCTTGAATGGTTGTCTTTCTAAATAAGTCCTCATCAATGGCCAAATGCATTAGCAATCCTAACATACAGTAGAAATTCTACAAATCATAAATACACCACACACGTATAGAAACTATAATGGAAATTTATTAACTGAGGCTTTAGCAACCAACATTGTTATAAGTCATGAAAATCTCAGATCTCAGATTCCTTTTACTCAGTACAAGAGACCTGATGGGGGGCTGGGAGATAGAGGGTGGAAGAAGACTGCAGAAGAGAAAGAACATCACCCTGACTGACACAGCAAGAGATGAGGGAATCAAGGGAACAGACTGAATTAAGGTGAAGTTAGTAGCCTGCTGATTTCTAAGTACTTAACCACACTATTAGAATCATTCTCTCAAAAAGAATGGATTAATTTAAAAGGAAAGTGGTACAATCTGCAAAATTATCTCATTTACTCCACTAGGTGAAAATGATTGCAAAGGAATGGGAATGAACTATCAAAAGAAAAAAAAGTCACAAGAAAATCCAACTGATAACAGCTAGACTGAGAATGAAAAGAACCTCCGAAGGAAATCAAAAGTAGTAAGAAGAGACACTTTCCTGAAAAATGTGTGCTCGCGAGCAGATACATTTCCATAGCCCTCATTTGCAACTTAAAGCTGTATCAAACAATATAATTAAAAACAAATTTTAGGGATATATTTTGCAAACTCAACTAGAAATCAGAATTTGTTCTAAAGTAATAAAGAACCAACTGCCTATGGTATGGCTGCTGCAACAGTTTTATTAGAGAAAGTAATCAAAGCAAATGAAGTTCTAAACATTTTGGCACGTCAGTGTGCTGGTAGAGAGAACAGTGTTCCTTCTTGGCAGCTAATACCAGAATTCCTTATTGGGTCAACCATGTTCCATCCTAAGAAGAAACCACTTTGCAAAAAATAAAAGAGGTAGGTGTCAGGAAAGGAGGCATTGGAGTAAGCTCTGTTTGGGGAATGGTTCCAAGAGCAGAACAACCCCAGATTTGTTATGCTAGGACAAAAGACATAAGAGAAAAGAGTTGGGCATTTATTAGTGGGGTGGCGCAGATTTAAGAAGAAATGATTATAGGGTTTAGGGTTATGTGAAACAGAACCTCCTCTACCTTCCTTATGAATCTAAGATAAACCCTACTTGGCTTTATGCTTTTCAAGCAAATGGATTTTTCCTGATGGAGCTGAAACATCCCCAAATCTATTCCTCTTCTAGTCTCCTATATTTTCTTCAAAATTTGAAAAGAAGAAAACACTAGATCCGCTGCATACAAATATCACTTCTGAATAATTTTCCTAATACAAAAGTATGTTACATGCATATTTCTTTCAAGACTTCGTTTTTGAACAATGTTTCTTAAAAAAAAAAAAAAAAAAAAAAAAAAGACAAGCTAGGGTACAGTAGCACAAAGCGAGCCATTGAAATGCTGCTTCTTTGTACATGATTTTGGATGCATAATTAGAATTTAACTACTTAGATTATATTAAGGATTGCACCACTACATTTTTACAAGGTTCATTAGCCTAATTATACACTTAATTAAAACAAACGCAGTCACACATGTTAACATTTTCAATTCTAAGTATAAATTACAACCAATGATAAAACTGAAAATAAGTAACAAATGTTTTATTGACATCCAAATTGGCTGAGTAAGTCTGAGTTTTGCGTTGATAATGTAAACTACCACAACTGCCACCCAGCTGTATGGAAATGATTATAATTCATCTTAATAAAGGTTGACACAGTATAAACATCACAACGGTAGGGAAGGCAGAATATGAGTGGGCAGAATAGGGTCTCATCAACAAGAACCGCTCAGCTCCCTGAGTACAGCCCATGGGGGGCCAGCAACTACCTACATGAGCCCAGAAAGTACTGCCACTGAAAGCATGGACACCAAAAGGAGAAAGTTTAAAGGAATGCCAAGTTAAAACTTTAAATCTTAATTTTTTTTTTAGAAAAACTTCAATGAATGAGATAAATCAGGCCAAAAAGGTAAATAAAAATGGAAAATTCCTTTAGATTACAGCAGAAATCACAGATGTCATATTGCTATATATAAAGAGACATGATTCATGTAAGTGTAAACTGCAACTTGTCTCTCTAAAACCAATGCGTATGTTATAGTTCTTTATTATAACAAATGAGTCTGCGGCTGAGAATGCACAATTGAAAACTTTCAGACAAAAGACTATTGATTCAGCAAATAAAGTTAAATTGCGTTTTTTTCAAAAGTTATTAAATTAAAATTGAGTACTCAAAAGTTCAAGAGCATATTTATTCTCAGCTAGTTTGTGAAGCTCAAATTGACTGTAATTCTTCATTAGCATATGTACCCAATTAACTAAACAAATGTGTATTGGGATTCTCAATTTTACGACATAATAGTAAATTTTCTCCCAGATTCATGATATAAGAGGAAAATGATCACTTTCTCTGATTGGGTAGACTAATCACTACCTACCTAGAATACCAAGCACCAGAATACCAAGCACCACTGGAGGGAATTTCAAGGCACATAACAAAAGATAAATTGAGTATAAAATCTCTTCTCATGATTTGATCATTCTTATTAGCTGCCACTGCCAAGGACCTTGCTAAATGATTTACATATATTTTCTTATTTAAACCATACAAAAGTCATGATTCCTATCCTTCATATGTAAGGAGTAGGGCTAAGTGAGGCTAACTTGCCCAAGGCCACACTACGTAAAAAATACTGAGCAAGGTATCCTTCCCCAGTCCTGACAATCCCCGTGCCAATAAAACGAGGACAACATAAGGTCAAGTCAGTCACTGACTGACACAGAGAGGTAATACAAAATTCCCAACTCCAAATCTGGGGAAAATAAATTGCGTTTTCAATACATAATAGAGCAAAAAATGATAAAGAATATCTTAGATGAACAAAAGGGTATAACAAACAATATAGTTTTTTTTGTGTGTGTACACATTTAGTTTTATTGTAACAAAGCAACTTGTACACTTTTAACGTTTAAAACTGAGCATCATCTTTCCTTTCCAGCGAAACAAAAAGAAAATTTAAAAATATACAGGAACAAAATTACAATAGAGAATGTCAATTCCAAATAAGATCCTACAGGTTCTGCTGACTCCCCCATTGAGTGGCAGGGCTCAAGTCATCATTAGGACAGAATTTATTTTAAAAGTGTCATCTTAAACTGCAAGGATGTCTGTCAAATATCACAATTAAACATGCCAAAGGAGAAGCCATGTTGTCAAAATGCCCACTTAACCCACCCAAACATCTCAAACCCACCCTTTGCTGACCTTCTATAACCTCATTTTTTTTTTAGTTTTTTTTTTCTTCTTTTAAACAAGAGAAAGTAGACAGATACATGTTGGTAAATGCTAACTGTCCATATTCACATAGAGACACAGTGTACTCTCTGAGCCCAATATACAGAGAAAGGAGGAAAAAAGCTAGAATTCTATGCACTACTGCACAGGGGCCTAGCGCCCTCCAGCTTCCAGCAGAGCGAAGGGAGAAGGTTTTTCTTTTTTCCCACAGAGCTCGGTGGTGTTGATTCCATACAGTTTTTGTTCAGACAGGAAGGGATAAAAATGACAAACAATATAATTATAATCATGTAAATCTTAGTTGAGGGGAGAGTGAAGCTCAGATTCTGCTGAATTAAATGGATGAGTATGGTATGTCTCAAGACCATCCAAAGATGTTTGACTACTAGTCTTGTAGACAGAGAAACATCAGTTTATATTTGAGGGGGAAATTATTCAAGACATGAATGCAGGATGTAAAAAACAAACTTTTATATTTCAGTGATTTTCTGAATATAGATTAATTACAAAATACAATCTGCATATAGATTATTTTAACCACCTTCTAATTAATCTATATTCAGGTTTAAATAGAATGCAAATAATAATACTTATGAAATACATATTTTCCAACAGGGTCACTTTTATTTCAACTCAAAAACGCAAAACATTAAAAATATTCTCCTAGTGGCCAGAAGTGATGGCTCACACCTGTAATCCCAGCACTTCGGGAGGCCGAGGTGGGTGGATCACTTGAGCTCAGGAGTTCCAGATCAGCCTAGGCAACATGGGGAGACCCCACCTTTACCAAAAATACAAAAAATTAGCCAGGCATAGTGGTGTGTGCCTGTGGTCGCAGCTACTAGGGAGGCTGAGGTGGGAGGATCACTTGAGCCTGGAGATCCTGCCACCGTACTCCAGCCTGGGTGACAGAGTGAGACCCTGTCTCAAAAAATATAAAGAAAGAAAGAAAGTAAAAAAAAGAATAAATCAATTTTAAAAATAAAAAATATTCTCTTAGAGATGTGATTTCATTTTTCAGCTTCATGATGGAATTTATGGACAATAATGTAACTAAGCAAATAAATAAAGAGGGGAAAAGTCATAAAAATAAACTTTAACACAGAAATTGAAGAAGCTTTTTCCAAAGGATGTTGACACTTCACCTGATATTCTGAATATTGTATTGAAGATAAACAGATGAAAAAAATTATTTGGGATAAAAATCAAAGTTAATCAGACAAATCAAATGATGGCAAATCTGTAAAAAGTAAGTTGAGAATAAATTAATAAATAAGATATCTGCCAACATGAGTCAGTAGCAGAAAGCCAGACCCACACCCAGAGTCCCTTCATTTCCCTCACCACCATCTTCACAGGGCCTGATTTTCTAACTGTGAAACTTTAGATTTTTCCTTAAGTCTTATGATTGACAAGTAGATGTTAAGAAGGATTGTTCTGTGAGTACATACTACTAATGAGAGTATGGTAAATGGGCTTATATGGTTTTTTTCAACTTCCCTTCTTCCTGAGAATCAAGGACATGCACTGCTGGGAATTAATATGTAGTTACAACAAAAGAGGCTTTCTTATCAAACAGTAAGTGGAAATCAAAATCCTGTACACTCTTGTCCCCCAAAGATATGAATAGAAAACAGAGGTGAAGAAGTTTTAGACATGAAAAATACTAGAATGTAAAACCATCATGGCAGCCATTTTTATTTGTTTGGTTCCCTAGGGCAAGGGCTGACAACTGCAGCCTATGAGTCAATTCAGCCAGCAATATGTTTTTGTAAATGAAGCTTTGTTTATATCTTGTCAATGGTTGCTTTCATGCTACAATGGCAGATTTTCTGGGCCATGATGCCTAAAATACTGATTATCTGACCCTTTACAGAAAGTTTGTGAATCTTTGATCTGAGATATCAAAGGCACCAAAAATGCTAACTAGTAGATACTAGATCTTAAAAAAAAAAAAAAAGTGTATATAAACACCAACATACAATTACTATTTTCACAAGGAAAAGTAATGTGAAACAAATTTAAGTGCCACAGACTTAAGAATAAAGGTAGATGTAAATAAGTGAGAAATGTCCATTATAGAAAAGATCCAGGCCAGGCAAGGTGGCTCATGCCCGTAATCCATGCACTTTGGGAGGACAAAGCTGGCAGATCACTTGAGCCCAAGAGTTTGAGACGAGACTGGGCAACATTGGGAAACCTCATGTCCACAAAAAATATAAAAAATTAGCCGGGCATGGAGGCACTTGCCTGTAGTCCCAGCTGCTTGGGAGGCTGAGGTGGAAAAATCACCTAAGCCCGGCAGGTTGAAGCTGCAGTGAGCCACTACTCTCCAGCCCGGGCAACAGAGTGAGAAGCTATCTCAAAAGGAAAAAAAAAAAAGATCCAGAGAAGAAAACTTTAGGCCAGGTACAGCCGCTCACACCTGTAATCCCAGCACTATGGGAGGCCAGGGTAGCAGGATCACTTGAGGCCAAGAGTTTGAGACCAGCCTAGGCAACAAAGCAAGACCCAGTTTCTACTTAATTAATTAATTTAAAATGTTTTAGCCATAATTGTTTTCCATAGGGGAAAAGATTTAGAGTATCTACTTTAAGTTAGATTATGAAGCCCAAGTAAGAATAGTAGTAATTTTTTTTTTTTTTTTTTTGAGACAGAGTCTTGCTCTGTCACCTGGGCTAGAGTGCAGTGGCGCGATCTCAGCTCACTGCAACCTCCACCTCCTGGGTTCAAGCAATTCTCCTGCCTCAGCCTTCTGAGTGGCTGGGATTACAGGCGCACATCACCACGCCCAGCTAATTTTTGTATTTTTAGTAGAGATGGGGCTTCACCATGTTGGCCAGGATGGACTCGATCTCTTGACTTCATGATCCGCCCGCCTCAGCCTCCCAAAGTGCTAGGATTAAGGTGTGAGCCACCGCGCCTGGCCTATGCCTCAGCCTCCAGAGTAGGTGGGACTACAGGTACCCATCACCACACCTGGCTAATGTTTGTATTTTTAGTATACATAGGGTTTCACCATGTTGGCCACGCTGGTCTCGCACTCCTGACCTCAGGTGATCTGCCCACCTTGGCCTCCCAAAGGTCTGGGATTACAGGCATGAGCCACCATGCCCGGCCTTATTTTGTTTTTGTTTAAGACAGGTTCTCACTCTGCCATGCCAAGCTGGAGTACAGTGGCATGATCATGGCTCACTGCAGCCCCACACTCCCAGATTCAAGTGATCCTCCCACCTCAGCCTCCCAAGTGGCTGGGACCATAGGTGTATGCCAGCACACTCGGCTAACTTTTGTATTTTTTGCAGAGACAAGGTTTTGCCATGTTGCCAAGACTGGACTTGAACTCCTGGCTTCAAGTGATCCTTCCACTTCAGCCTCCAAAAGTACTGGGATTACATGAATGAGCCATCATGTCCAGCCTCAAACACAAAATCTTATCATTTCATAGGTCCAGTCCCTATTTTAGCACACAATTTTATATGTTGCTTTTTATATACTTAACATTATATCATAATCATATATCTATTTCATGAGAAAGTGTCAGAAATACTTCTTAACCACCATCCAGGCCAGGATGTATCATTACCGTTTCTTTGTTAATATAGTAACACCATATCTAATATGGATAGTCATGGGTTCATTTGCTCCTGTGCTGATTACGCTTCACTAAGCAGTACCTATGGTCCTGTAGACCAATACCTACAACCAGGTTCTAGAAATATTAAAAAAGAAAAAAAAAAAAGCAAGGTTCTTCTGCCAAAGGTAATCACAATTATTTGGCATAACCTTCCTGAAAATAGTGGCATTTGTGGTTTAAATAAAGAGATTATCTTTCCTATTTGTTTTTGAGACAGAGTCTCACTCTGTCACCTAGGCTGGAGTGCAGTGGCGTGATCTTGGCTCACTGCAAACTCTATCTCCTGGGTTCAAGCAATTCTTGTGCCTCCGCCTCCCATGTAGCTGGGATTACAGGCACCTGCCACAATGCCCAGCTAATTTTTGTATTTTTCATAGAGACAGGGTTTCATCATGTTGGCCAGGCTGGTCTTGAACTCTTGACCTGAAGTGCTCCACCTGCCTAGACCTCCCAAAGTGCTAGGATTACAGGCGTGAGCCACTGCGCCCAGCCGATGGTTCTCATTTAAATCAGGAGGAAATGAAATGATATGGATGAAATAAAAATTGATTCCAAGGTAATGAAACGTTTTAGGTAAATGTTTTTCTACTAAGAAAATAATTTAAAAAAAGAAATCACCAAAGTAATGAAACCGTGAACGAATATAGATGAGGATCAGTTAACTTTATTTTTGAATAACATATACAAGGAAATAACTCAAGAAAAACATCATCGGCCGGGCGCGGTGGCTCACGCCTGTAATCCCAGCACTTTGGGAGGCCGAGGCGGGTGGATCATGAGGTCAGGAGATCGAGACCATCCTGGCTAACAAGGTGAAACCCCGTCTCTACTAAAAATACAAAAAATTAGCCGGGCGCGGTGGCGGGCGCCTGTAGTCCCAGCTACTCGGGAGGCTGAGGCAGGAGAATGGCGTGAACCCGGGAAGCGGAGCTTGCAGTGAGCCGAGATTGCGCCACTGCAGTCCGCAGTCCAACCTGGGCGACAGAGCGAGACTCCGTCTCAAAAAAAAAAAAAAAAAAAAAAAAGAAAAACATCATCATGGGGAAGATAATATTGTCTCTCTACCTATTTGTCTCTATTTCTACATATCAGCAGGTAGTCAACTAAGACAGGGGTTGGAGGACGAGCTAATTGTCATTAATGCCCCTGATTGAAAAACATTCAACCTAGTCTAAAAAATAGCTTTGAAAGTAAGCAGTGCAAGATTCTTATTTTAAAAAACTTAAGCCAGCCATGGTGGCTCACACCTGTAATCCCAGCACTTTGGGAGGCTGAGGCCGGCGGATCACTTGAGATCAAGTGTTCCAGATCAACCTGGCCAACGTGGTGAAACCCTGTCTCTGCTAAAAATTCAAAAACTAGCCAGGCATGGTAGCATATGCCTGTAGTCCCAGCTTCTAGGAAGGCTGATGCAGGAGAATTGCTTGAACCCGGGAAGCGGAGGTTGCAGTGAGCCAGGATCTCCAGCCTGTGTGACAGAGTGAGACTCCATCTCAAAAAAAACCAAAAAACAAACACAAAAAAACCAACAACAACAAAAAAAACTTCATCACACATCAGGTCACAATAAGATCTACATGGCTGTAAAAAACTCTCTAACGTTAACTTCACAAGCTTACATTACTATTTTCCTTAATGACATTTGATATTTGAGGTGGTCTGGGTTGTGTTCCTTCTCTTCAAAATATACAATTGGTATTCTGCATTATTCGTTAGATGCTCTGACTTTGAAAATCTAAATGAGAAAGCAATATTGACATGTATTTGTCACTTTTATAAAAGTAAGTATTCAGTAACTGTTATTCAATTAGTTATCCTCCAAAATTGAGAAGGCCCAAGAATGACTGGAGTTTTATATAAGGGAAGTTATCTTGGAAATTTCTACTTACATATCATGAATATATATTATTGTAGTCCTACTAGATATATGTGCAATTTCTTAACTTCACTTAATTTCTTCCTTCCTGCTATACTACATTGCTTAATTTACTCTTGCACAAGCCACCATGAAGTTGACACAGCTACCTTTACAAGCTATCATCACATTTAAAATCATCTTCCGCAACAAGCCATTTTCAGTTGCCTAATTCAGACTATTCTTCCCCTATCAGCTCACAGAGCACCTATTATATAACTATATCAACATTTATCACATAATTATAATTGTGTGATTTCTTGGCTATCACTCCGTCTAGACTGCAAATCTCTGGAGGAAGAACATATTCCGTTCATCTTTGTTTCCTAGCACCTAACACAGGGATTGTCACAACAGAAATGCTTGGAAAGGTTTCTTATGAAGTAACAGGAATCCATTTCCGAGCATTTCTGAGAATGAGGAAGGTGGGGATCTCTGGGTTCTTGGAGATTTGTATCTGTCAATCTGAACAGACCACCTACTTTTTCTCTCCCATTGTTAACCATCTGTGAGGAACCATGACTATCAATTCCACAAAGAAGCTTAACCATGCAACACAGGTATTGGGGAATCACAAACTATTTCTGTTCTGCTTCCATATGAAAATTGGTGATGCCTAAGAAGAGGTTATAAAGAATCTGTTTTTCTTAAATCTCTTTGTCTCTTTGAAAATCTCTGTGCACGACTTTCTTCATTAAGTGCCAAACTAATAGGGCTTAAAAATGACTCAGCTATAAAAGAACTTCTAGTTCTGCAAAGACATACTTGTTTTCTTGAATCTGTTTGGTGTATCAAAACTAAATGCCATGGTAACCAGAAACTGTGGTGGATTTTGTGAAATGCCTTCCTTTGACTTAATCTAGATAGTAAGTTTATTTTTCCATCTTACTCTCCATTTGCTTTAGGCTTTTCATCTGTTCACTTTACCCTAATATCCTTTCACAGTGAGGTAGAAAATACACAATAAACGACAGAAAATATAGTAACATGTAATTGAAATGCTGGCTCAAAGCTGGTACAGACACAATTAAATCTCATTTGTGATGAGTTATGTTTCACAGGCATTTTAAGACATATGCATATCGGGAAGCTATAATCCATGCATTTTACCTTATCTTTTTTTTCCTACTCCGGAAAGAAATGAAAACAAAATTTAACTTTTGAGGTAATTTAGAACTCAATTTCTTACACGAAATAAAGGCAAGGCCATGTTGAAAATAATATTGTTTAACTATAAGTTATTTGAAGAAATTTTAATGCTTCTCTAAAGTTAAAAAAAGAATTTTAAAGAGAATTAAAAAGTAAAAGCAGCCACAACTCTATGAATATAACACCACTTGAAAATTCAAGGTGAATGTTATACCTTGTTATGTAACACTACCATTCAAGCCTCATTCATACTCCAGCAGAGTTCTAAGTCAAGTTTCAGCTTTAGAACATTGCATGAACCATGAGAGATGAAATCTGAACTCACCACAGTTACTTACAAGTAACAAGAAAGTACTACCATTGTTCAAATACTCATTTAAAAAAATAAAATGCATAGTTTAATCCCACACATCTATCTTCTACAACACCCTAGATGCCTGTAATTACTTGACAACAGTTTAAACTATGTTCTACGGTCTCAGTCACTGCTATAAGTCTACCCTCCAACTTCCCCACTTTTTCGCACCATGTAAAGAAAGTTAAAATAAAAAGAAAAAAAATAAGGTGATAGCAATAAAAGAAATAAGTTAAAAATTAAAAAGCCAAAATAGGTCATTAGAGAGCAAGTAAGAGAAGATGCAATTAAATTAAACAAGTTAAACATGCACAAGTTCAGACTCATGGGAAAGGATGCGGTGCACCTCACTTGTCTGTGACAGAGGTCTGCCAAGCCTTTGTTGGAAAATCAATTCATACTATTTGAATACATTAAAACCAAAAATATCACAACAGTCCTTTCACACATAAAAAGGAACAGAATCAAGGAAACTGACATAACATTTGAAGTTTTTAAGGATGCATGTTCTGTAAAGTAATGAAGTTGAGATTAACAAACAGTACATGATTTTTAGACTCAAGGTTCAGAAATCTATGGCTTGCCTAATTTTTTAAAATTTCATATTAAAGGTTTTTAACAATAAAAAAACTCATAAAATTGAAGAACTAAACACAAATTTAAAGCTTAAATCAAATTTAAGTCATCTAGATAATTTTTATTGCATTAAGCTTTCCCAAAAAAAGTGCTTTTAAGCTCTCCTTAACGTTGCAAATTCATCTGGAGTTCTGACTTGAAAGTCCATCATCAATTTACAGCAAAGTAAAATGTTTGCTTGAGTGTGATGAACAATAAATTTATTAGGATAATTCAAATGCAGTTTCTTCACGTTCCTGCAAAACCTCTCTTCATCAGGCTAAGTGCTTTCTGTGATTATGACATATATATAGGAATGAAGGAGCAGTTGCCTCCAAATGAGAATGTTTCCTATTAAGCATATGCTAAGTCAACACCACTCTCTATCTGAGCATAAATGAAGATAAAACACTCTACATTATGATTCAATTAAAAACCTCCAAGATACGTTACCTGCCGCCTCGAGCACTGAAAGGCACTACGTGGATTCCCAGAGGCCCTCCATCGTTGGGGACTTCTACGAGCTTTACCATATCACTGTGAGACAATGATGAATGAGGGAGCATGAACGTGTACTGTAAACAAACCAAAACCAAAACAAAACAAAACAAAAAACTGCAACAACACAGACACACAATAAACAACAAAAGAGAACAGAACAAAAATCCCACCAAGTGCATAGGCATATATATACATATTCTGGAATATAAGCATGGTGATGAAGGCAACATTAAACACTACATACCTGAACACTAGTCTGATGGCATGGAGGGAGAGCAATCATCAGAGATAACTACATTAAAATGACACAGAACATTTCTCTTGGACCGACCCTATTCTTCTGTGTAATACAAGTTTATGTCTTTCAAGTAAAATCTTTAGACTTACACTGAAACTCTTCCATCCCAACACTCACGTCAAGGACTCTAAAGATTAACTGAACAAAGATGTTGCAGCTACCAAGGACTCTAAAGATTAACTGAATAAAGATGTTGCAGCTACAGAACACTTTCTAATTTACAAAGTGCTCTTTTATATGTCACATCATTAATCCTTCCAATAATCCAATGAGACCAAAGTTTTCACTCCTGTAAGTGACAGTCCAAGGGAGATCACCATTGTCCTTACTGCTCACTACTTCATGACAATTCAAAGTCACTATTTCCTAAACCGCTATAAGAGTGCTACAAGTGCAGCTTACAAAACTCCTTTCTCAAAGCCAACAGGCATCTACTGCAAATCAAATAATTTTCATAAAATTGCTCGAAATTAATTTTCTTTTTAGAAAGGGAGTCTTGCTGTGTTGCTCAGGCTGGCCTAGAACTCTTGTGCTCAAGCAATCTTTTCGCCCCAGTATTCTGAGTAGCTGGGACTACAGCTATGAAGCTATTTATATTATATGACATAACATGAAGTTACTTCTATTACAAAACTATTCTGCATAAGGAACATAACGTTACATAATGTATGGATTTGTCAAGTCTATGAATCTTTACTATTAATAAAATAAAGCCTGAGTTTAATGAAAATTTGTATAGACAATGTAATTTTCTAAACTATTTAAATGAGATTTTTCTTTCTTTGTAGATTTTTTCATATATACATATAACATCAGAGGTCTAAGCAGTATTTACCTAACAACCAATATTTGGAAACAGTACTTCAATTAAACATCTATTTTAAGCCAGCTGGAAAACAATCAATTATTACCAATGAATTTCACAAAGATCACAATATAATTTTATGTGATGGAAAATGCCAATTTTTCAATTATGTTTCTAATATAAAAACCTGAAGTTATCCTATGTACTATGAATGTCCTGCATAAAGACAGGAATATCAAGCAAATCAAAATTGAAAATATGTGCACAGATTTAATCACATGCACTAATTAAGACAACATAAAAATTCTGCCATACTGCCAAATGGTTAAATGGATTTTTTATTACTTTTTTTTTTTTACCAAATTTCATAAAATTCTATTTTGGATACTGATTATCCCATTTGAACACCTATCTAATCATTGGTTTGTAAGCTAAGAATAGCATAACTTCAATAAACTGATTTTATCCCACAGTCTAAACAGAACTATGGCATGGCAAGTACTTTACTAAATGTAAATACTCAGCGTGCTGGCTGCCATACATTCAAACAGCATCTGACTCTAGTGCCTGCTTAATCTCACTTCTCTTGGAAGACCAAGAAAAGACAGAATTAAGTACATAAATGTCAATGTCTATATCCCCAACTTTTGCCCAAAGTCAAAGAAAAAAATCCAGAATGACTGCCCTCCCTGCTCTAAGCTACCAAGGAAAGAAGTCCTGAGAATGCCTACCATTTACACATGTCAATATTTAAAATAATCAGAACACTGTGGAACAAACAGGAAATTTTTCTTTGTCCTTTTACACTTAAAATCATTTTCAAGGTCCCTAACCTAGGACCTCCCTTTTTCATTAAATATCTTGAAAGATTCTATTTCTTCAAACAACAATAAATACATATATTTACATGCACTATAATAATTAATGCTAACATGATCTAACTAGTTTTTCAAGTATGTCTGCAAATTTTTTTAATTTAGCAAAGTGAAGAACAAACACATGATCAAAATATTGACACACAAAGCAATCTGAAAAGAGTTACGGTGTTTACAGTGTTGTTAACATGACAAAAATCTTCAATCAAATACTATTTTATATTATAATTCAATAGTATTTGCCAGGGCATGAAACTCAGGACTGGTACACATGAACTTCCATGCTATACTGCTTACATTACATAATTAACTCAAGAGATGAAAGATGTTCTTTAGAAAAACAAATCAATGCACGGCATGTTTTTAACTAAGCACAAACATTCCTCATGCCATATGCTTTCAGAATACTTGCTGCAATTAATGATGCTACATGTATACTGCAAACTTAGTTGAAACCATCAGTAACTTACTCCAGAGAAAAGTTGGGTATATGCTCCAAACCCGTGTCAGCATGTCCAACAGGTTCAACACGACTGTTATCCTCTTCTGTCCCATCCTCATCCTAGAGGCAGCCAACACAAAGAAAAGTACACTCTGTGTTAGGTTTCTTGCTACAATGTGAAAGGAAACTGGATAAAATGGAAGTCTAATAGGCATTATGATCTTGGTAACTGTTTCCTCTAAGAAGGATGACCTTTAATGACAGGATCAGTGTGTGTTGTAAAAAGCTAAAATTGAAAACAAGAGTCTCATGAGATAGTGTATCCCAGAAGGTGAATAAGATATACTACTGTGATAAGGAAAGAAAACAAAAAAACAAAGAAAAAACTTATCTTTATGCTAATTTTCTTATCTGGTCATTTTTCATTTCTTTTCATGTATATTTTAGGAAGTAATTACATATTACTCCATTGTTACAATGTATTGATAAACAAATATACATGACATTGGAAATGCATGTCTGAAAACAGCTTCCTACTCAAAACAGTTACAACGATTATAAACCATAACCATTACCAAAAGCTTCAAAGTCATGTTTCTCAGTTCTTGATTCCTGCTAACACAGCTTGTCAAAAGGAACAGGCAGTGGTATAGTTCCAGATTTTACAGGCTTCATCCCGTAAAATTTCACATAAAGTTACCCTAAGCCAATCGACTGATTATTTAGAGGTATCTGTAAAGGTATTAAGGTCTTAGCCATAATGGACCACTTTTGTTTACTTCTGTGCATGAAGGACCAAACAAAAGGACAAGCTAAAGTAACAAAGTACTCAGCCCCCATCCTCCTATGCTTCCTTTGACAAAGGCAATATTTTGTACAAATTGCTCCAATGTGTTGCAGAAATTCAATAAGTTTGCTGGTGTTTACACATGTCAGTTTAGTGAAGTTATACTATTCTCAGCTTACAAACCAATGATTAGATAGGTGTTCAAATGGGATAATCAGTATTCAAAAAGGTGCATGTGGAATAAACGTGGTAGTTCACAAAAATAAATGAAAAGCCACCCAAGAATCTACCTTCATTTATAATCTCGGCCACTGTCTTTTCATTAAAGAGTTCACTATTATTAATAGTTAAAAGTTGGCTTTTCAAAATCATTTGAATAACGATAAAGATACCTGACTGAGATCAATGGACTTATTAGCCAGATTAGAACAGTTAAGAGATCCTCAGATTCTCCAAACACAATGATGGAGGCATAGTCTTTGGCACCTACTAGAAGCTCTGTAAATGTTTTGCTAATTAAAGTAAAATCATGCCTAGGAATCTCTGTGGTAATATGTTCCCCAAATGCAACTAAGTAAAATGTATTTAATCTGTTTCTTAGAGGTTTATATGTATAATTTATGTATACATATAATTTGTTAGGTTGATCTTTTCTATTACATAAATTTGACAATGGTGATTTTATTGTGAACTTTTTTCAACATAATTCATAGGTGCACACATTGGGAATTTACCAAGCCATCTATATTAGGACAGGAAGTCCAACACTGGAGAAAAATTTTATATTTTCAATCATGTTATTCCAGAGACTCACAGTAGAAACGTGTATGCCATCAATAGGAACAACAGATAAGCAAGAGTTATAGGTTCAAGATACAATGTCAAACAATATATTAAATCATTGAAGAGATAGTAAGAGACGGCAAAGCAGGCAGTAAGGCCCAACTGACATTTCCTTTGCGAATCTATGAGAAGTAGAAACTAAGGGCACCAAACTTTTCTGTGAGTCGTAGCTGTGCTCTGTGCTTTGTGGATGGTGGAGCTCTGCATGAAGCCAGGCTATTTGATTGATGATGCTGTGTCTTGAGAGGCTCTAATATGTACTTCTTAGTCATCTATCTCCTTTAAGCACCAGCACATAATACATTTCAAAGGTTAACCAACATCTTGAACGTGCCTGAGAACTGCACTTGGAATGTAAACACGAACTCCCAAAATCATGCTTTTCCAATGGGAGTGGGTGCAGGAAGGAGAGCAAATGTGATTTGTTTATAAACCAGATGTAGGACACAAAAATAATCTTACACATTACAGATCTTTTTTTCAGGATTCATTAATAATTTAAGGACTACTGAAATGCCACCAAGATGTATCACCACTTGAAACACCTATGTTGCACTGTGAAACAGCCACATAAATGAAATGCCCCAAACTACAGTGATAAAACAGTCACTGATAATTCACACATTGTTCCCACAGTGGCCATTATCAGGCACCAAAGAGCATGGAGAATATTATTTCATGAAGCTACATACAGTGTCCAGTTTGGATGGCAACATTCACTGCCCTGAGGCTGAGCTGCAGTTGCTGTGGAACCTCAACTTAGATTTTCCCAATATTTGGATGTGTAAATTATCAGCTCCTGTATGGTTTTATTCTGTTGTCTGGTACTTTTTCTTTCAAGCTGTGACTGAATGTAGTTACTTTTAGCAAGAACTATACACTGAATTCCATTATAACTACAGTAAACAAAGCTGTTATTATGTATGTCAAATCAATATTTAAGAACTATACAGTACTGGCCGGGTGAGGTGGCTTACGCCTGTAATCCCAGCATTTTCAGAGGCTGAGGTGGGAGGACCACTTGAACCCAGGATTTCAAGACCAGTGTGGGCAACATGGTGAGATCCCGCCTCTATTTTTTTCTTAAAGTAAGAAAAAAATAGAACTATATAGTATCAATTTAAACTAAACTGTGCCAAAGAACTTTCAGATATGAGACAATACAGCCATTTGTTTTTTTTTTCTTTTTCCTTTCCCTACTCTCCATTTCATAGCAGAGTACAGACATTAAGAGCTTGGGTTCAAGATTTAAACAGACCTGGGCGTGAATAGCAATTCTATCATTTGCCAATTTTATAACCTTATGCAAGTTATGTACCTTTCCATGTTTCTATCCCTTCTTCTATAAAACGTGAACAATAAAAACATCTTCCTTGGCTGGGCTTAGTGGCTCACACCTGTAACCACAGCACTTTAGAAGGCTGAGGCAGAGAATGGCTTAACACCAGGAGTTCAAGACCAGCCTGGGCAACGTAGCAAGACTCAGTCTCTACAAAAAACCAGGTGAGATAGTGCGTGCCTGTAGTCCCAACTACTGGGAAGGCTGAAGCAAGAAGCTTGAGCCCAGGAGTTCAAGGCTGCAGTAAGCTATGACCATGCATGCCACTGCACTCCAGCCTGGGTGACAGAGTGAGACCCCATCACAAACACAAACACACACACACACACACACACACACACACACACACACTTTAAAAACTCTTCCTCTTAGTACTGAAAGAATCAGTACGAAAATCCTCCATATCACAAGCATTACATGGTGCCTGACACATAGTACTTACCCAACAAATGGTTATTTTATAAACATTATTGAAGACAGAAATAGATAACACATAATACAGAAAACAAACCTCGATAAATCTTTTAGGGCAATTATGTACAAATATACGACATTTTAAGAGTATATACATGTATTCATCTATTCATACACTGTGCCTTGCAAAACAATTTAATATGAAACATATTACCCACTCGATCAAATAAAAAACATATTATTTATAATTTAGAAACTTGCTGACACCTGATATTTACTGTGCTTTGCTATATACAAAATATTTTCAATGTAGAATGTCTTTAGGATGAGTAAAGAAACCAAAAAAAAGATAAATAAATGCTATATACAATCAAGTACATGGCAAGAAGAAGAAAACTTTGTGGGGTGGTGGTTGAAGACATTTTCAGAGAGAAAGTAGATGTAAAAAAAGTAGGAGGGGTCTAGGATTTTTACAATACCTGAAAGCTACACCTTCATCAATGCTGGCAGAAGGCAGAAGATTCCTGGGTCACAGACAAAGAACTATTCACAACTCATAGCCACACCGCTAGCCAGAGTATCTTCCTTTTATGTAGTGGTTCCTCAGCTAAGATTCTCACAAGGTGATGTGAAGAGGATCCAGGGACACTGGCACACACAGAAGAACCCTAGGCTTAGGGAACCTGAATCTTTTAGACAGACAGGGAGTATCTTTGCTTGCTGCTGTCAGAGGAGATCTTATACCTATCTTGCTCTACAAACATCCTTGAAAAGATTGTCCACAATGAAGACTTCTGTTCTGTGTGTGTATATATACATATACAACCTCCTCCTCTTAGATGAGTCATCTGTACAAAATGCCAAGAGAACAATGAGGAGTTATCTCCAAACTGCAGAGTTTAATCAAAGGATTGACAAATGATGTGGATGATTGCTAGCAGACTAAAACTAGGAATATTATTAACAAATGATCTATGATAACAATGCCTTCTGAATAGCGATATTAAATTCTACTAAAAGTCATATCTTCTACACTGAAAAAACAATTCAGTGTAAAACTACATGCTCAAAAAGATCAAGCATGAAAGATAAAAGAAATTTTGAGACTTGCAAAGAGATCTTTATCTCCTTCACATGAACACTTTCTTATATAAAGCTCTTTTTGGAAGTGCTCCAGCAAAATCCAGAAAACACAGTAAGAAATCAGTCAGAACCCAAGGGAAGTCCTAGAACACGGGAGAAATGGCAGTTTAAGGAAGCAGAAACCAGTTCAGATAAGAGCAGGAGGATGGAGAGGTCTAGTAAGTACATCTCCATGAGAAAAAAAGAAACTAATAATTGGTCTGATATCGTTCTAAAAGTTCTTTCATTCCCCTTTAGTTTTTCTCTTTTTTTGACACGGGGTCTTGCTATGTTGCCCAGTTCTGACCTCAGACTCCTAGGCTCAAACAATACTCCAGCCTAGGCCTCCCAAATAGCTGCAACTACAAGTTTGCACCTCCTCCCTGGGCTCAGGTCTGATACTTTTGAATATTTGAAAAATAAAAGGCATCTTGACAGACCTGACACAGAATGCAAGGGGAAAATCAAAAATATATACAGAGAAAACAAAGCAACATGAAAAAAAAAAAATTGCCCCAGGAGAAAAAAAATCTGTAGAAGAGGAAATATATTCAGAGTATCCATTTGGTTATGCAGTGAGCAATTGTCACATTGCCATGTGCTGTGACACTGGCTATTGACTGAAATTAGACTTTGGATGTAACAGCATTGAAAGGATGGGAACAAGAAACCAGAAGCAGTATAAAAGGAACAACTCTTATCTTCCATATGGCAAGTCAACAGATGTCAGTAACTGGTAATCAGGAAAGAGCAACATAAATATATTATTTAGAAACATGGAAGTAAATATCAGAGCAGACATTTAGGGAGAAAGACGGGAACAGTGGCACAGAGAGGCTGTTCATTTTTATGATAAGTCTTTTAGCATTATGTCTTTATTTTTATTCTGAAATGCCTGCCAAGGGGGTGGAGGGGCTTCTCCGGTCTAACTAACATGCAGACTGTCAAGGCCCCCACAGACTGCCTGGCATTGGATTGACAGTGCAGGGTGTAAGGCAGGAGACCCCACTTGCCAGCAAGGCTGTATCATGCCTTGTTTTCCAGAGGAGTGTGCACCCAGCAGTCCTCACAGCTGTGCAGGAGCCATTCTCTTGGGGTCTCTAGCAGACAGCGCAGGCGTGTTGACTCACATCAGGAAGTTGCAAGAGCTACCATGGCTGAAAAGCCTCATGCCCCAGAGAAGCCAGTGTCTCTTGGAACAATGCCATAGTCGTAAGCTGCTGCTCCTCAGATATTTATAGTTTTTCAAGTCTCAATACGATTTACCAATCAGTGGTTACTTTTGCCTAAAAAGGCAGTCGACATACTACCTTTATTAGGATTCCAGAAAAGGGGGGCCAAAACATAACTAAAGTTTAACTTCTCATGCAGAAATTGGAAAAGAGCCAGGCATGGTGGCGTGCGCCTGTAGTCTCAGCTACTTGGGAGACTGAGACAGGGGGATCACTTGAGCCCAGGGAGTTCAAGGCTGCAGTGAGTTATGTTCATACCACTGCATTCCAGCCTGGGCAACAGAGTGAGTCCTTATGCCTAAAAAAAAAAGAAAAAAAAAATCCAAAAACTTAAGTGATCCTACCACAAAAAAAGTACAGGACTTGTAACTAGAACACTTGAGACTAGAATCCTGCCTCCATCTCTCACCACAGAAAACAGGAACACAAATGTTTACAAAACAAGAAATATAAACCATACTGTCTAATTCAGAGGAACACTATAAAACTTAATCTAGAAACCAGTCATCTGTATATCTACATTCAAATTCTGAGGTCCAAGAAGTAAATATTTTGGATATTTATCACTTGAAAGAAAAGCCTATATTTATAATTTTTAAAATGTTTTATAAAAACTTAAAGTTATACTTCTCTACTTAAATTTCCAAAATATCTATCTTTGATTTTTGTGTTTAGAAAGCACAAAAAAAAAATGAAAATTCTCATGGTACAATTTACAATATTTTCTGTCAAGTGTTTTTAAAAAAAATTATTCATAACAGTAAATAAAATATTTTAATGAGTTCAAATATATTGCTAAAAAAACACTCAACTAAATGTTCTTTTTCATACTTTTTAGAATCCCTCCAAGATTTTCCTAACTTAATGAGAGACATGTTAACTATTAGTGAGCTATGGTATCCTAGAGAAAATATTTATTAGGATGTTGACAGAGTGAATTAAAGCACTTTTTCTTTGGATTACATTTGATGAAAAATAATTCCAAAGGGAATCTGTTTCCAAGTCTCCTAGGTATCACAAATAGGATTGCAGAAGGCATTCGTGTTAATGTCCCAACTACTTGATTAACTGGCCGAAACACCAGGAAAAAGTAATTTCCCATCATATATGGAAAACAATTGAAAACATCTGTAGGAGAGAGGGGCTTCACAATACAAAATGATAAATCTATAGCAACCTTCCAAAGAAATAAAATCAGGAAATGTGTAATACAATTTTAATTCATGATCATTATATTCTGCCAGAATAAAAACATTCATGAAAAAAATGCAAATACTTTTTAGAAAAGACAATATTAGATAAGATATAATAATATAATAATATATAGCAAAAATAAGATATTTTAAAATTAAAAATATTCCCTTGTAGAGGGAAATTAACAGCTGTTACAGTTTTAGACAAAGTCCAGTTCCTTATAATATAAACTATGCTCTACTGAACAAAGCTCAACATCAAATTATTTAGGATTCTATGAAGAATTATTCAGCGCCTGTGATGTAATCACTGTATATAAGCGCCATCCCCTCAACCAGATTCCTACTATTCTTATCTCAAGCTAGTACTGATCAAATGTAGTATTTAACACAGTCCATGAAATTTCCATTTCCCAGAGAAATGAAATGCCTCCCGTCTTGATACATATACAACATGACTCCATACAACCAAAGGCAAAAGAACAGATGGTGCTGATTTATGAAAGCTATCTAACCACAGAGAACAACAAAAAGTATGTATCTCTGCACCAGTTCCATGCATAATGGAATCTTAAAATTCAGTTCCAATATGTAAGTCTTCTCATTGATTATTAGGATTCCAGAGCATGGAGGAATCTTCTTGGAAGATATTTAGTCCAGCATCCAAAAGTACACTGCAATTTGTCTTCACATTCTTCTTCCATTTTGCCTGTCATCAATGATTCACACAGGAAGATTTACATATTGATGCTTACTAAAAATCACTGAATCTAATAACTAGTCCCAGCACCTTACCTGCCATCATCTGCCGCATTCCTATACATATTTATCCCAGATGACCACTCAAGCAGATACCACCATGCCAGGAACACTGGCACCGCTTGTTTTGCACGAAGGGCGTCTGCACTGCTTAGGGTTCTCCCACCACACACTAGTGACCAAGTGGCCACCCTCTAGTTGACACGATTTTATTCAGACTAATCAATCTCTTTTCAGAAGTGGCTTGCTTACCAGAGTAACACTTATTTTTCTTTTGAAAATAAAACTCATTAGCTATGTATTTGTTGCATTGTCCTTAATTCCCAGTATATGATACAAATGTGAAACAAAAATTAAGATATTAAACAAATACAATAATTTAAAGTATTAAACATGTTATATTTGATATGGCAGCTGAGCACAGTAATAAAAAACACGGATTTTGCATGCAGAATCATTTTGACAAGTTACTTAACTTCTCTGTGCCTCAGTTTACTCATTTATAAACTGTGGGAAATAATAGTATCTATCTCAGAGTTTCCACAAAAATCAAATGAGCTAATTGAAGTACTCAGAAAACTGTCTTGTAACTATTAAGGGCTAACTAGGTGCTCAACACCACCCTCTAGATAAATTTTAAAAAGAAAATGGGAATTTGGTAACATATTTGTTTTAAAAAATAAGTGTCCTTCATCTTCTATGGCACAAAAGTTCAGTTAGAGTGATTAAAGAACACCAGGCTCTCCAGGACACTGTTGTACTGATGTGAGATGATTTCTGTCTTTTCCTCTTACCTTTGGTGTTTACTTTCAGTTTTTTTTTTAGATCATATAGGTTTTTCTTTTCTTACATAGTAATAATAAAATATAAATATTTAATGTATCATTTTATTGCAATCATTAAAGAAACAATTTTTAATGATTCAATATTCTATCGGGTAAACATATCATCATTTCACAATTCACTCATCAAAGAACACTTCAACTCCAGTAACTGACAGATTTCTAAATAAAAACATTTCAATATTTAGGATTCACTTCTTTGGAGGAAGTCTATAACATAATGTTTCAAATGGCATGATCATTTTAAGGTAGCCAGTATCAAACTACTTTCTAAAATGACCGAGCCAATTGATATCATTACCAGCCTCTTATTAAACTGTTCATTTCACAACTTTTATTTTCTGTGTTGGGACACAATTCTCCATTTGTCTCTTGCAAATCTGCATGTCTTATAAACAGAGGCACTGATTGCTTCTGTTCTGGACTTGCTTTTCAAAGATACCTCTACAGAGATAAGCTGTGGGAGACAGAGACAGTGTCTCCCTCCAGGGCCAAGGGGAGTGAGTCTTGCTTACTGCCATTATAAAAGATTCATCAGCTCAGAGTCCTGTCCTGTAACATTACCCATAGAGCATGCAGGCATCCATCTGGGCCCAAGGGCATCACTTCCATAGGTCTAGGGAGTAAGGAGAACTGAACCAAATATGCTGATGCTTATGTTGCATGTTGTGCTAAGAGTAATACAATTTCTCATCTCTGACCTAGGAGCCTCAGGTCTTCTGTCAGCAACCATGAAACTGAGGCAGGCTAACTTGTTAGCTTGCAAGTAGGATAAAATCTTAGATCCTTCTCAGTTCTTAGACAGCTGCTCTAACAGACAGAGATGGGGGAGGAGGGAGATAGGGAGACAGACAAAAAGACACACATACCCCTTATTCCCCTTAATCTATCAGCAAAAAGTCTTGCTGCCATTCTAGCTGGAATTTAAAATTGCAAGTGAGATTAAAGATATCATAGTGAAAGTGAAGTATATATGTCAACTTGACGGGGTCCCATGACATCCAGACATTTGGCCCAACATTATTCTGGGTGTGTCTGCCAGGGTGTTTTTGAAAGAGATTAACATTTAAATCAGGAAATTGAGAAAAGCCCAGTGTCCTCCCTAATGTGGGTGAGCATCATCCAATCATTTGGAGACCTGAATAGAACAAAAAGGCTGAGGAAGAGGAGTCCTGTCTGACTGCTGAGCTGAGATACTGGTCTTTTCTTGCCTTTGGACTGAAGTATCAGATCTTCTGGGGGACTAGAGCTGCAGGCATTTGGGCTGATCCTTACACCATTGGTTCTCCTGGGGGTCCTGCTTGGTGACTGCAGATCTTGGGACTTTTCAGACTTCATAATCACATGAGCCAATTCCTTATAGTAAATGTTATATGTGTGTATATATCTAAAGACATACATATCTAGATAGATAGATAGATAGATAGATAGATAGATAGATAGATAGATAGACAGAATCTCCATTCTACCAGTTCTGTTTCTCTGAAAAACCCTAATACAATCATATTTGTGGAATGATTACATATACTCTTTGCAAGTTTATCAGGAGTTTTTTTTCTATGTATTTTAACAAAATCTTTATAAGCTAGTCGTGTGTGTGTGTGTGTGTGTGTGTGTGTGTGTGTGTGTGTGTGTATTTCCTCCTTTTTTAAGAGACAGGGTTTCATTCTGTCACCTAGGCTGGAGTACAGTGGTATAATCACAGCTTACTGCAGCCTCAAACTCCTGGGCTCAAGCAATCCTCCTGCCTCAGCCTCCTGAGTGGCTAGGACTAAAGGTGTGCATCATCGCACCTGGCCAATTTTTTAAATATTTGTACAGACTGGGTCTCAGTATGCTGCCCATTTTGGTCTCTAACTCCTGGCCTCAAGCGATCTTCCCACCTTGGCCTCTCAAAGTGCTAGGAATACAGGCATGAACCCCAGCCCCAGCCAAACTAGCCATTAATCCCGTAGATATCATATATATTTTACCAAGCAATGGCATGTTTTCATTTTATGTAAAATGAAGATGCTGATACAAGAGAATAACATTTTTTAAAAAGCGATGTACTCTCTTCATTCCTCTCCTTCCGCTTTAATAAGGACCCACACTTTACCTCCCATTCCACCTTCCTTTTCTCCCAGCCCTAGCAGACATCCACTATCTGCATTAAGGTGTAACCTTTAGAAATATTTCTTACCAGAAATGGTCTTGAGAAAAGAACTGTTTAAAAGTGGTGACAACACAGAATGTCCATTTCAACAGATGTATTTATTACTAAAATATCTTGAATCCGAGAAATGAATTAAATGCTGGGAAATCGTTTCATTAGATTTAATAACCATATCATTTGCTTTTGATTACACAGTTTGGCCCAATTATGTTAGTACTTTTGATTTCCTCAGGTTCTTCCCTTGCGATATAATTAAATCCGGGATTCATGATTTGCAAATGGACTAAAAGAACTTCAGCTCCTTTTATATGAAACATTTTCATATCAATATTTACCAGAAAGAGATGCCTTCAGAGAAAGAGACATTACAATTTTTAGAAAAATGATTAAACAAATGATACATAGGCCAAATAAGAAATAGAAAATACAGAAGACATTACTTTCATTTACAAAAATAAAAGATTTGAAATATTTGTTGAGGTCACACTGGGGGATCAGAACTGTTTTACTCTTGAAACGTTTACTCTTAAAATGTTAAGATAAAACAGGATCAAGATGACTGCTTATTTGTTCTCCAAATAATAGACTAGGGTGAAGTGGGTTACTACTAACAGAAATTTTCTCTCTTGAAAAAACATTAGGCAGTACTTCAGATATATATACACACACACACACACACACACACACACACACACACATATATATAAGACTTTGTAACTGATAAGAAACTAAAGTCAATTTTAAAAAATAGGACGGTAGGTATATTTTTAAAAACCATAACACCTATGCATTAATACCTGACTCCAGAGCATGGATGTGTTTAATTGTGTGTAGGAACAATGGGCAGTACAGTCACACAAAGACAAAGACAAGGAAAGTGGGTTCAGAAGCCTTTCACACTTTTCCTGGAAAGTCAGCTCGGTCTTTTGTTATTCAGATTAGCATTTCAAGGGCCAGCTCTACCTTTTTTTTTTTTTTTCCACTTATTTGAGAAACCTTTTGACTACCAGATACTATTTCCTATTCAAAACCCTGAATCTGTCATTAGGCAATTTCTAAAATAAGTCTCATAGCCCTTTTATCCAGATTCTTCTTTATCTCTAAGGGTCCCGAGTTACCTGCCTCACAGGTCTCTATCACCACGCTGAGTTTCGCAGGCTTAGGTCTGTCCCTTGGACATTAAGTAGGAAACCCACTCCTTACGTGGCCAAATCATTTTGGCTCTGTTCTCTATCATTCTGAAAATCACCCCTATATATGAGGATTTTTTAAAAAATTGGAATTGCAAGGGAAAGGGGGAACAAGTTGATGACTATAAACGTTCTTTAGAGTAGCAAGTCAGATATTAGTAAAATTCTACCCTAAAAGAATCATTAAACCATGAGAAAACTTGTGACACTAGTAATAACATTGCAAATGTCAAAGTAGTTGAGTTAAATAATTGACAAGGTCAAAGAGATTAATAGTTAACGATCTCATTTCTTCTGACAGTAAAAGAAATCCCATCTAGCCCGGGCAACACAGTGAGACCTTGTCTTTACAACAAAGAAACACACACACAAAAACTGGCTGGGAGTGGTAACACGTGCCTATAGTCTCAGCGACTCAGGAGGCTGAGGTGGGAGGATCACTTGAGCCCCAGAGGTCAACACTGCAGTGAGCTATATTCATGCCGCTGCACTCCAGCTTGGGTGACAGAGCGACTCCAGCCTGGGTGACAGAGCAAGACCCTCGCTCTTAAAAAAAAAAAGGGAGGGGGGAGAAACAAATATCATCAAGGTACAAAGTACAAATCATATTTAAAAAATAGAAGCATGTCTACTGTACCCACATGCCTAAGAAGAGCACTGCTATGGCTCAGCTGTTTTCTCAAGGCACTTAAAAACCCATGACATTGCTAGCCATAAAACATCCTAAAGGAACACTCAGTCGGCCTTGCAACTTGGATAGGACTGAGAAGTTGGAAAGGATCAGTTTTAAATCACATCCTCGGGTCAAAACCCTAAGGTTTCTATAAAAGCTGAATCTACTGACCACAGTTAACAACAATCTGGCTGGGCGTGGGCTCACACCTGTAATCCCAGCATTTTGGGAGGCCAAGATGGGCCAATCACTTGAGCCCAGGAGTTCAAGACCAGCCTGGGCAACACAGCGAGACCCAGTCTCTATAAAAAAAAAAATTAAAAGAAAAAAATAAACAATCTATTATATATTTCAAAATAGAAAGCAGAGAGGACTCGAAACATACCCAAGGTGATAGACATGCCCAGTACTCTGATCATTATATGTTCTATGGATATAACAAAATATCACATGTATAAGTATTATATATTTAGAAAACAAATAAAAAAAATTAAAAAGCAACGTCACTAAGTAAGTACTGGGAAAAGGAAACTGAAAAGACCTCCCAAGTGCCTCTATACCATAACTCTTCCAGGGACTCATGGAGAGAGGAATGGGGGTGGGCAGACCAGACAAGCAGATGCAGACATGCAGATTCATCTGCAGTAACCAGAAGTTTGATCTTACAGGTGAAAGACAAAAATCAATGCAAGGAACAGACTGTTAAAGCCATGATCAGGAAGAAGAACCACCAACTTCTGGAGGAATAACCACCAATGTGCAAGAACTGGTATGAAGAAATCAGAGAGCCAGGAGCGTGCTAATAAACATCTAATAGAATCTCCACAAACAAAAAAAAAGGGTCAGGAGGTGGGGAAGCCGTATATGTAGTGTTTGTTGATACCTGTTGCACAAACACTCCCACCCTGGCAACCAATATAGTGTCACTGAACACAGAGTTGGGAAGACACATGCACAGTCGGCTCAGGGGAAGGGAGAAGTCAGCCAAGTGAATGAAGTAGTACTTGAGTACCATTAGAAAGAAAAGAAAGAGTTCGCAGAAGATCAATAAATAAGCAAAATCAATAATATAAAGTATCAACACTCTGAATGATACTCATAGTTGGCCAGATTATTGCTTTTATATGTATTGTTTTACATTCTAGAAAGCCTATTCATATATCACATGTTTAAATGTTACTTGAACCAACAAATGAAATGCTATCAATCAATGAATTTATAGCAAACCAGTCAAACAGCAAAGAACGATTCTTATCTAAAAAGGAACCTGAATTGCATAAAAGACCAGTAGAAAGGGATTAAACACCATAGTGCCTCTGCTCACCGGTATGGCACCTCAGTGGGATTAAGGAAAGGAGACACTTGGAGGGGACACAGCTTGGGGTGCAGTGTATAGGTGGCATTGCACCCCCAAATCTACCCATCAACAAAGTGGTCCTGAACATAGAATTGCTATTTGGTGTTTTACAAGTATACCTATTAAGTGCATACATACTGTCTGGAGAAAGCAGTTTATCTTATGGATATTATACTTAAATACTAAAAACAACTTTACATGGAGGGTACCCTCAGAGGGTAAAGATGAGTAGGAGGACAGAAGGCATTAACTGAGTGGTCATAGATTTAAAAGCCTTCATGAATCTGCCAGGCACTATACACACGCTGTTCCTATTCTAGGAATAGAGAACTGCTGCTCAGAGTAGTTAGGTAATCCATCTCCTGTCTGTGCTATCAATCCACGAAGTCTACGTGTATGTAGGTCTACCCTCCTCAAAAGAGAGCTACTTAATAATAGGACACACCGCTTGTAAACAGAGTGCAAAATCCACAGTGCCAAAATCACAAGATGTAAATGGGAAATAGAGTTTACTGGGGAAGGTGTCACAGGTAGGGAAGGAGCAGAGAGAGCCCCACAATAACCCAAATCTTGTCATGTCACAGTCAGCTATGCTTTGAGCAGACATAACTAGACTAGATGCACTCTTAAAAGACGTCCAGGAGAGTGGCTCATTTCAGTGACACTTCACACCAACATAAGGAGGGCAGGGGGGACTTTGCAGAGAACATCACTAACAACAAACATGAGTTTCCTGCTCAAAATGAGACTATGTCAGAAGAAGGCAGCCTGCAGAGATGAGAGGTTCTACAGTAACAGTGAGCAAACTCAGATCTTCATTAAGCACCTATCAGGGCCAGGCTTCCCTCAGGCATCTTTGCACCTACAGCATCTAGCTCAGTCCCTGACTCTAGTGTTTAGTTGTCCAGAATGCGCTGGATTACTAAGAGAACAACCTGATGTAAAATGAAAATGAAAACCTAGCCAGACACTGCCCAGTATTAACACTGACATCCATTTGCTAGAGATAGAATATGGAAAGTGAGACTATGAACAAATAGAGGTGGCTGCAAATAAAATAATGTATGAATTTTGTGACTTTAAATACCTTTAAAAAAGATTGTATCACAACATGAACTGTAATGGCCAGATTGAAATGTCTTTGCAAAATTGTAACAATAGGAATCTGACATACTTGACTTCATCTTGCTTCTAAACTCCAAGCTGTCCTTCATCATTCCTGGCCATAGGCCAAGCTAACTTTGGGAGGAATTTAGTTTACAGTTTAACCTTACAGCAAGGATGATAACAGGGGACCCCTTACTCATAACTCAACAGATCCTGTGGTCCCACCCAGAGGCATGAGGAATGGTTCCCACACCCCTATGATTTCATCCCCACCCAATCAGTAGCACCAATTCCCCAGCCCTCTGCCCACCAAATTGTACATAAAAACCCTAAGCTTCAAGCCTTTGGGGAGACTGACTTAAGTTATAACTCCAGTTCTTCAGCATGAACCAGCATTGTGTCAATTAAACTTTCTCTACTGTAATGCTGTGGTCTCGGCGGACTGATTTTGTCTGTGCAGCGGGAAGGAAGAATCCATCAGGCAATTACAGTATTCAGGTAAGAATGAATTCACTTTGCAGTTTTAAAAAGCCACAGAAAAGAACATGGATTACACTGAATTTCCTATGATCAAAATTTTTATTTGGGAAAACTTCAAACCTCAAGAAAATTGAAAGAATATGCTCAACATTATATCCCCTTCACCTATGAACCACCAACATTGTGTCTCCTCTCTAATGATTTTTTCTTATTTTTGAATCATTATGATTAAGTTGCAATAGAAATTCTTAAAGGTGATTTGAAGGTAATGGATTAATTATTTTCAAAATAAAGAAAATAATTTCGATTGTTTGGGTTTATTTTGAACTTGAGGAAATTTTTGAAAGGAAATAATGAGTGCATTTATCTTAATGGTTTTCAATTACCAACTGCATTTACTACTGTTCAGCTTTTCTGACTTTTCACCACAAAAAGGAGAAAATAGGCTGAGCCTAAATTCCACAGGTACTTTTCAATGTGGTACAAAGAGAAATACCCTTCCTTAACCAAATTACCAATGTGATTTTATAAAAAATTTCCACTGAGTAAAAATGACCAATGACCCATCCAGAAAAAATAAAGTTCCTCTTTCAGAGTCTGGAGAAAGTAGCAAGACAAGTCTAAAATAAAATTTTAGAAATTAAATATACAACATCTTTTTTCAGTAAAAGCATATTCATAAAAACTTAAGTTCATAAAAATAAATCTATTTCAGAGCTATTCATTTTCAATAATTTGTCCTAACTCTGAAAAAGGAGTGTAATTCTATACTCTAGAAGCAAGAATAGTGAACTTCGAAATTTAAAAAGTAAATTTTAAGTGTCTATCATTTAACTTTTCAAGACAGTAAAGTGCCATGGATGATTATATTATATATTTTTTATTTTTAGATATTTACTGTTTGAGGCGTGGTCTTGTTCTATCGCCCGACTGGAGTGCAGTGGCTTGATCTTAGCTCAATGCATACTCGACCTCCTGGGTTCAAGTGATCCTCCCACCTCAGCCTCCTAAGTAGCTGAGAGTGCAGGCACTCACCACCACACCTGGCTAATTCTTATATTTTTCTAGAGATGGGGTTTCTCCATGTTGCCCAGACTAGTCTTGAACTCCTAGACTCAAGCAATCTGCCCACGTAGGCCTCCCAAAGTGCTGGGACTACAGGTGTGAGTCACCGCACCCAGCATATATTCTTTATTTTGCACATTTACCACATTTCCAATGGGAATGTGAAATAACTGTTACTCTGCAAGCCTTAATCTTTTATCTCACAAACATGAGCAAATAAACTACAGGTCTACTTCAATATTCATGATTATTAATCTTTAGAAAATTACCTAAATCTGTTTCAGAAATGTTTAACTCACTAGTCTTTATTGAGTGACTAACTTCAAATCACTGTAGTTGACATAAAAACATTTGTCTAGTGTGTTCCATTTTCAGAGGGCAAGTAACTCCAACCTTGTCCCCTGAGAGAGCTTTAGAATTTCTGTATTTTTTGGAGACAGGGTCTTTCTCTGTCACTCAGACTGGAGTGCAGTGGCATAATCACAGCTCACTGCAGCCTCCACCTCTTGGGCTCAAGCAATCTTCCTGCCTCTGCCTCCTGAATAGCTGGAACTACAGGCACATGTCACCATAACAGGCTAATTTTTGTATTTTCTGCAGGGAAAAGGTCTCACTATGCTGCCCAGCCCAGGCAGGTCTCGAACTCCTGGGCTCAAGCAATCCAACTACCTAAGCCTCCCAAAGTGCTGGGATTACAGGCAGGAACCACTGCACCTAGCCTAGAATTTTTAATAAAAGACATGTGTTCATAAAATTAAATTTAAAAAACAGAATAACTGTTGAATATTAAAATCTTAAAATTTGTCATCAAGTAAATTATAAATAAGAGCAAAGGTTCAGTGTTGAGGGGAGAATGGATAAGAAGTAATGCAAAGAAACAGGCCAGGTGCGGTGGCTCATGCCTGTAATCCCAGCACTTTGGTAAGCTGAGGCAGGCGATCACCTGAGGTCAGGAGTTCAAGACCAGCCTGACCAATATGGTGAAACCCCGCCTCTACTAAAAATACAAAAATTAACCAGGCATGGTGGCATGTGCCTGTAGTCGCAGCTACTTTGGAGGCTGAGACAGGAGAATTGCTTGAACCCAGCAGGCGGAGGTTTCAGTGAGCAGAGATTGTGCCACTGCACTCCAGCCTAGGTGACAGAGCAAGACTCCGTCTCAAAAAAAAAGAAAAGAAAAGAAGTAATGTGCAAAGAAACATTATTTAAGGCAAGGAAAACCAATCCATTTCAGTTTGGAGTGTATGTATGTCTATTTAGAAAATGTTTTAAATGTTAGGTAGTTACTAGGCAGTATTTCGCCATTATTAAGTAGTTTCATAAAATATTTAATTAGTGGTAAAGTATATAAAATACAATATTTCACCCTACATTTCTATTCCAACTCTCCCTTCAGAAAGAATTAACCATCATTACAATTTGGAAAACAATTCTCTATTATTTTATACATAGGACATATCCATACACTCAAGTGCAATTTTTCACAAGAATTAAAACATACAAATTACGTAAAACTTGTTCTTTTTACTTAACAACATGACTTGCAAATATTTCAATACCTAGGAATTTATTTTTACCTCAACTGTATTGACTGATTAATTGATTGATTGAGACAGAGTCTTGCTTAGCTCTGTCAGCCAGGCTGGAGTGCAATGGCACAATCTTGGCATACTGCAGCGTCTGCCTTCTGGGCTCAAGTGATTCTTCCACCTCAGCCTCCAGAGTAGCTAGTACTACAGATGCATGCCACCACACTCGTCTGATATTTTTAAAATTTTTGCAGAGATAAAGGCTCACTATATTGCCCAGGCTAAATCAATTTTTTAATAGCTGCAGAGTATCCCCACAGTGCAAATATAAAATCATTGATTTAGTCACTCCTCCATTAATGGACACTTAAGCCTGTTTCTAGCACCCTGTTTTTACTGCTACAATTAGCATCCTTATTCACGTGCAAATATTTCTGTAGATACGTGAAGAGGGATTTCTTTATTCCTACTTGTTTTAGTAAATTATTCACTCTGATCAACAACATTCAAACTTTTAACAGTCAGTTTATACATAGGAGACAGATGCCCAAGATAAGGGTGTATGATCTTAAAGAGGATGAAACAGTTAAACAAATAACTCAGAGATCATGATCCTGGAATTCAATGCGCCTCACTATGTTTGCATCCACACAAGTGTTCCTGCTTTTAAGTTTACTGAATGTGCAGCTTTATGGGCAACTATTTAATTGACTGATGACAGGAGTCCTCTCTCTTGATGGTCACTGCCTAATCAACTTTGTTACATATTTTACATGTACATGTACAATAATTCTTGTAGAAATTAATAAAAACACATCACTTGCATGCACAAATAGAAGACAAAGACTACGATGGCAATCCGTACTGTGTATTTATAACAAATATGTAAGCATTAAATCCCACAGTTCGGTTTCTTTTCTCAAATGGTGACATTCAAAAATATATGCATGTTAACATGTTCAGAACAAAATTTAATAATCTTCAATCTGTAATTTTAAACTGCAAAACAGGCCAGGAGTAGTGACTCATGTCTGTAATCCCAACACTTTGGGAGGCCAAGGTCGGGGGGATTGCTTGAGCCCAGGAGTTTGAGACCAGCCCAGGCAACATTGCAAGGCCTCATCTCTACAAATAAAAAAAATCAGCCAAGCATGGTGGTGTGCACCCATGGTTCCAGCTACTCAAGAGGCTGAGGTGGAACTGCTTGAGCCTGGGTGGTCAAGGCTGCAGTGAGCCATGATCATTCCACTGCACTCCAGCCTTGGCAACAAAGCAAGATCACATCTCAAAACAAAACAAAAATGAAATGCAAAGTATAATTTATCTTTCCAAAATGATCCCAAGGAAAACTGCAAACTGAACTAGCATTTACTAGTTATTAACATATATAAGTTATTGTACTACTTATTAATAATTATTATAACTAGTTATTTAAGTAATAAATTATAATATTTAAAGTAAATATAAAATATAAAAGTATTTAATTATAATTTGTAATTAGTTATATTAGTTATTAATAATTATACTAGTTATTACATTAATCTACATTAGATTATACATTTCTATGCATCATATACAACTAAAAATGAGCATCCATGTTTTTTTTTCATTCAACTTAAAAGCACAGGAATCACTACCGCTTGAAGTAAACTTTGGGTCCGGTCTGTTAAAGTGAAAATCTGCTAAAAGCCATGAACTCTTTTCCTAGCTGCAAGCTCATTAAACAATAAATCTTATTTGTGAATTCAGAGAGAATTCCCACCCTGAATCATTCACTTATTTATTCAATTATTGAATGCCTATGATATGCTAAGTGCCATCCCAGGTGCTTAAAACAGATGAGTGAACAAAACGGAAAAGATTTCTGCCCTTCTGAAACTCATATTTTAATAGGCAGGGAAAGAAAATACACAATAAATGTAAAGAATTGTATGTATGCTAGTGCTATTAAAAATGAGTAAGGTAAGGAGACCTGGGAATACAGAAATTTGGAGAGGTGGGGACGTTGCAGAGGCAGCAAGATAAAGTTGTAAACAGAGGTCAGAGAAGGTCTCAGTGAGGAGGTGAAATTCAAGTGAAGACTTGAAGGACCCAGGAGAATTAAGCAAGAAGATATCTGGGTAAAGCAATTTCCAGGCAGAGGACCAGACCAAGGGCCCTAAGGAAGGAACAGATTTCACAGACTTCCCACAGCACATCCAGGGACACCCACTCTCACCCCTAGGAATCTCAGTTTATGAATAATCCACCTTTGTCTATGCAGTTATAATTTAGTAGATAATATCATGGATTTTAAAGTTAGAAAGGCTGAGATTTAAAGCCAAGGTATATTTACTGTGTGACCTTTAGCAAATAATATGGCATTCATAACTCAGGTTCCTCAACCAGAAAACTGACGTAATAATGCTAACGTCTACCCCATAGGATCTGTTTAAGAATAACGTATATAAAAAACTTAGCAGGGTAAAATTCAAGACATGCTAGTTCTTGTCAGATATGAACCCAAAGCACAGGTAACAAAAGCAAAAATAGGCAAACAAGATTGCATCAAACTAAACTAAAAAGCTTCCGCATAGCCAAGGAAACAATCAACAGAGTAAAAACACAATGTATGGAATAGAAGAAATATTTGGAAATTATATATCTGGTAAGAGATTAATATCCAAAATAAATACAAAAAAAAAACTCAAGCAACTTAACAAAAAGAAAACAAATAACTCGATTTAAAAATGGGCAAATAATCTGAATAGACATTTCTCAAAAGAAGACATACAAGTAGCCAACAGGTATATGAAAAATGCTTAAGATTACTAATCATCAGGGAATTGCAAATTAAAACCAGAATGACATATCACCTTCCACCTGTTACAATGGCTACTATCAAAAAAATGAACGATAACGTACTAAAGAGGATGTGGACAAAGGGAACCCTTGCATTCTGTTGGTGTGAATATAAATTAGTACGGCTATTATGAAAAAGGGTATAGGGGTTCTTCAAAAAGTTAAAAATAGTGCTATTATATGACCTAGCAATCCCACCACTGGGCATGTATCCAAAGAAAATGCAATCAGTATGTTGAAGAGATAGCTGTACTCACATGTTTATTACAGCACTATTTACATTAGCGAAGACATGGAATCAACCTATCTTGTTGTTTATCAACAGTGTTTATCAATAGACCCTGAATAAGAAAAATGTGTAATACACAGATACATACATACACAAACACACACACACAACAAAATACTACTCTGCCTTTAAAAAGAAAGAAATCTATCACTGTGGCAACATGAATGATAGTGGAGGACATTATGTTAAGTGAAATAGGCCAGGGACAGAAAGACAAATACTGTATGATCTCACTTATTGTGGAATCTAAAAACACTGAACTCATCAAAGTAGAGAGTGGAATTGTGGTTACCTGGGGTTAGGGGGATGGTGGGTGGGGATGTGTTGGTAAAAGTATACAAAATTTCCATTAGGAGGAAAAAGTTCAAGAGATCTACTGTACAACATAGTCACTGTAGTTAATAACAATATACTGTATACTTGAAAACTGCTAAGAAAACATGTTTTAAGTGTTCTCACCACACAAAATAAACGAAGTACGTGAGGTATTACATGTCTTAATTAGCTCAATTTAGCCATTCCATAATGTATATATTTCAAATCAAGTCGTGCACAATATATACATTTTTGTCAATTAAAACATTTTATAAAATTTGAAAAGGAATAATTCTTGTAATTACTGTTATTAACCAAAAATTACCCTAAATACAGCACACTGATTCACATATACACAAATACATACACAACTGAATTTGGGCATGTTTAAAAAAAGCTAGTAATGTTATTACTATTATCAAAATTGTTTTTAAGAGAACCAGAGTTTCAAGTAGTTACGTCAAATTATGCAACAACTACCTAGGTTTTCCAGACCACCTTAAAATCATAATGGTGTTTTTCAACTCACAGAACCGTTATTAAAGTTCAAATATTAACAAACTGGCAAACTTATAATCACATGGGGAATTGAAAAGAAATCATGAAACTCTGGTCCAATTTTTATCTACTTATTCATAGGAAGTCCCCAAGCAATATTATTCCAGCAAAAAGCAACTCACCACAGATTGAAGATTAACCCTTAAATTCCCTTTTATTTTTAAGGTCATAAATATTTCTATATTTGCAAGTGTTGTTATTGTATATTAACATCTTACCTAATATAATATAATACAAACATAATAGAAAAGTCAAAGAGCAGCTAAAAATTGATGAACACTTCCATTCTTTTCTTACATACAGCAATGCATGCAGGGGATGAAAAATAAAATCACCAGTCATCATTTTCTCTAACAAACAAACATAAAGAGTTTCTTAGGATGAACAGAGATTTTAGTAGCAGAATCCCCTGGGATAAGAATCAAGACCAATGTTATTTAATACATTCATAATAATCTGTTGGAAGAAATAGGCAACAAGATGTATTCGAGTAACAGAAAACCGTTTAGGTAAGTAGAAACCAGAAAGTCTTTGAAAGACTCCAGAAGGAACTAATCAAATATGCAGCATGATGAAACTGGGCTTAGTAATTCAAGTAATCAAGATTCTAACTTTACATTTTTTATTTATTTATTTATTTATTTTGAGACAGAGTCTTGCTCTGTCACCCAGGCTGGAGTGCAATGGCATGGTCTCAGCTCACTGCAACCTCTGTCTCCCGGGTTCAAGAGATTCTCATTTCTCAGCCTCAGCAGAGGCTGGGACTACAGGCGCGCACCACCACGCCGGACTAATTTTTGTATTTTTAGTAGAGACGGGGTTTCGTCATGTTGCCCAGGCTGGTCTCAAACTCCTGACCTCAGGTGATCCACCCACCTCAGCCTCCTAAAGTGCTGGGATTACAGGGGTGAGCCACCATGCCTGGCCTAACTTTAAATTTTGAGCAAAAAGACCTATTACATGAGCAATGGCTCTCTCCTATCAGCAGGCAACTGGGCAAAAATCTCCTTTACTATTTAAAAAATTAAAACAAAGAAGATTCCTCTATTTCTCTTAGCATTCCACATTTTATACCTCCCATTTTCTTCACAGCCTCCTAGAAACCTGGGGCGTGTCCCTCCATTCTACTGACATTGCTGTGAGCCATTTTTAATGTCTCAATCATATGAAAATTACATCTTAATCATGACCAAGACCACTTTTTTTTTTATTCCACCTCCTATCTTCCAATTTTTTTCCATCTCTACTGGAATAGCCTGCATTTAGAATATTTTTGCTCACCCTCCTAAGCGTTCTCTCTTTTGTCTCTCTCTTCTCAAATCCATTTTCATTATACTTTAATGAATGAAACATTCATTTGGAAGCAATGTGACACTCTAGACCCCTTCTTTCACCAACATTGCCTCTTAACGTTATACATTTGGATACTTTCACAACCAGAACCCAATCTAAGTTCTATGCACCCCGGCCACTAACAAACAACTCTCAACACATCAGATTACTCACAAACGAAAATTCCACCAATTTGCTTTTCTTTTCTTTTTTGGAGATAGGGTCTCGCTCTGTGGCACAATCATAGCTCACTGCAGCCTCGAACTCCTGGGCTCAAGGGATCCTCTCACTTCAGCCTTCCTAGCAGCTGGGACTACAGGTGTGCACCACTATGTCTGGCTAACTTTTTTACTCTTTGTAGAGATGGGGGTCTCCCTAGGTTGCTGAGGCTTGTCTTGAACTCCTGGGCTCAAATGATCCTGCTGCCTTGGCCTCCCAAAGTGCTGGGATTACAGGCGCATGTCCCTGTGAAAATAGGTGGCGCTGGGCATGGGGACATGCTACTGTAATCCATTTTCACCTAAACTCTGACTTTTTGCCAAGGATTTTAATCCCCTTCTAGTTTAACTCTTACTTGTGCTTCAAAGCCTAAAGTCAATACTATTTATTCACCCAAAGCAGCTTTAGTGTTTTGGGCAGAGTACCCAAATTTCTATTCAACTGTCAAAGTCACTGAAACGTTCACAGATGCTTTACATCCACCTATATTACTTCATCATAAACACAACAATGATTCCAATCTTCTGTGGACCCAATAAACTATCAGGTATCTGAGGACAGAGTTGAATTTTTTTTAATCAATACTGAACACCAAAGCCTAGAGTCAATACTAAAGAAATATTTAACTGAGCAAAAACAAAATGGCAAATATAGTATTATATTTTCAACCGTACAAGTAATAGGTTTAAAAACCAGAATCAACTGGTTTTTAAATTGTATCTCTATCACTTACTAGGTAGGTAACATGCAAACAGTTTAGTAAAAGGATGAGTTTTCTTACCTTTAAATGGCAATAGTAATGCCTGCTTTACCTACAAGATCATGAACACTGATATTTAGCACAAACCTTGGTACATGGTGAACATTCAGCAAACTGAGTTTCCTCGTTACTCATAGCATTTTCAATATAAATGTTAAACAACTGAAAACACAGTAAACAGAATCCATCCACTTTTTGCATGTGCTTGGTGGCTTACTTCACGCTAAAATGTCCTTTTGGAGAATGGTATTTTTTTGTAGAAAAGAGATAAGGAAAAGAGAACCAAAATAGTTACAGTGCTATAGAATCCACTTCTATAATTAAAAAGTAAGATAGGCAACTTAAGAATGAGTAATTACATGATTATTTCAAAAAATTTACTTGTTAAAATATTTCTAAATAATAGTACCATATCGGCTTAAGTTTAAGACTAATATCTAGTGGCAAATATTTGTTCAAATGAATGTCCTTTTTCTTCACAAGTACCTCAGTGTTAAAAATGTAGGAGACCTTCAATAAGTTACAGTTAAAAGATGAGTCACAACCAGAAAAGGAAGTAGAAGAAGAGCAATCCCAGAATCCCAGGCGTGTGGATGTTACGGGAAGTCAGGGACCCCAAACGGAGGGACCAGCTGAAGCCATGGCAGAAGAACATAAATTGTGAAGATTTCATGGACATTTATTAGTTCCCCAAATTAATACTTTTATAATTTCTTACACCTGTCTTTACTGCAATCTCCGAACATAAATTGTGAAGATTTCATGGACATTTATCACTTCCCCAATCAATACTCTTGTGATTTCCTATGCCTGACTTTACTTTAATCTCTTAATCCTGTCATCTTTGTAAGCTGAGGATGTATGTCGCCTCAGGACCCTGTGATGATTGCGTTAACTGCACAAATTGATTGTAGAGCATGTGTGTTTGAACAATATGAAATCTGGGCACCTTAAGAACAGGATAACAGCGATTTTCAGGGAACAAGGGAGATAACCTGAAAGTCTGGCTGCCTGTGGGCCGGGCATATTTCTCTTATTACCGAAAACGGGTAAGAGAAATATTGCGGAATTCTTTCCCCAGTAAGGAATATTAATAATTAACAGCTCTGAGAAAAGAATGCATTCCCAGGCGGGGCCTCTCAAATGGCCACCCTGGGAGTGTCTGCCTTATGCAGACGTAGGTAGGGATGAAACACTCCCTAGTCTCCTGCAGTGCCCCTAGGCTTGCTAGGATTAGGAAATTCCAGCCTGGCGAATTCTAGTCAGACCGGTTCTCTGCTCTTGAACCCTGTTAAGATGTTTATCAATGACAATGCATGCACAGCGGGACATGGAAGTTCATTAGTGATTCTAGTTTCGCCCTGACCTTGTGACCTCGCCCTGACCTCCTGCCTTGCGATCTTTTGTTGCCCTTAAAGCATGTGATCTCTGTGACCCACACCCTATTCCTACACTCCCTCCCCTTTGAAAATTGCTAATAAAAACTTGCTGGCTTTACCGCTCAGGGGGCATCACGGAACCTGCCGACATGTGATGTCTCCCCCAGCTTTAAAATTTCTCTCTTTTGTACTCTTTCTCTTTATTTCTCAGACTGGCTGACACTTAGGGAAAATATAAAAGAAACTACGTTGAATTATCGGGGACAGGTTCCCCCGATATGTGGAGGCGATGAAGGGGTAGGGGGAAGTGGCAACTACATAGCACAGACACAAAGACACAAACACACCATATCACCATGTAGAGGAATGGGGGAGCTGGACAGTGAAGTGGAATATGTGATGGCAATGGGCAAATGCTACCTGAGAGAGAAGGCCGGTAGACCAAGGCTCTTGCAAGGTGAGCAACTCCCAAAAAACGACATCATCCCACAACAAACCTCCAGCACTTCCCCCATCTTCAAAATAGGACAACTAACTGAGGAAGAATCTCTCCCGATCAACAAACCTCCAGCATTTCCCCAATCTTCAAGATAGAACAACTAACTGAGGAAGAATCTCTCCCAATTCCCCTGACTCTAGTGATAATAAAAATTTTAAAGCAGTATGACTTATAGGATTCTTATGAATAAGCCTAGTCGTAAGAGACAATGCAAAGAGCCCAACATAACTAAAAGCTCTTCATCTACTCACAAATACCTACCAAAAATTGCTTTATTGCTAAAAATGTCTTAAGCCAGGTGTGGTGGTGTGTGCCTGCAGTTCCAGCTAGTTGGGAGGCTGAGGCAGCAAGATCATTTGAGCCCAGAAACTCAAACCCAGTCTGGGCCTCATAGTGAGATCCCATCTCTAAAAGAAAAAAGAGGCCTAAAATTATATAAATTGTCTTTATTTCAAACATTTAAATTTAGAAAACTCATTTATATTAGTGCACAAATTAATTCTTCAAAATACAGTTGAAAATGATGTAGCCCCCTTCACTGTTCAGAAAGAAGACGACAACAGCTGTGTTTTCTCTGGAGTAAAGAGGTTAGAGCCCTGCCAATGGGACAAAAGGGCCAGGAAGGATTATAAAGCCAGTGGTTTTGCTAAATCAAATCACTGGTGGGGTGAGAGACTGTAAGAACTATTTTTTTCCTACATTATAAACTAAAGGAAATCATGCAGAAACACTAACGCTAAATTTTATGTAAGCTTGCACAAACACACAAATATATACACACATCCAAAATAGAAGTACGAATCAGTCAAGGAAAATTTGTTAGCAATGCAAAATGGTGCACCAAAGAAAGAAAGAACTCTTGCTCAGACTGGAGGTAGTAAAGAAAAGAATAAACAATAAACAATTATTTTTAAAACCACAGTATGCATATGGAAATTTTTTAGAAGTCATAGTCAGAGTAGAACGCTTATAAATTCAGGTTGTAAATGAATTCACATTGAAAACATCATACAAATTAATTCCTTTTATATTTTAAAGCCAAAAGTAGGTACAGTGCAGAACTTGAAAAAGACTTAGTTTCTATGAGAAGAAAAAGAAAATAAAATCTCAGAAACTCGGAAAATGAATTTTTATATCCCATGTATGCTGGATAAAATATTCATGAAATGAAATGATATTTCATTGTATATATATATTATATAGTCATGAATGAAGGTTTTAGTGACAAAGTTACTTCTGTCTAGACACCTCTTTGAATTTAAGCAAAACTTAACCTAGATGAGAAGCATTAGAACCACAAGTAAATAAAAATCTTTTTTTTTTTTTTCCTTTTTTTGAGACAGGGTCTCACTGTGTCACCCAGGCTGGAGTACAAGTGGCATGATAATAGGTTACTACAGCCTCCACTTCCTGGGCTCAAGGGATAATCCTGCCTCAGCCTTCTGGGTAGCTAAGAATACAGCCCCACTCTAACTCAGTTTTGTTTTGTTTTGTTTTGTTTTGTTTTGTTTTGTTTTGTTTTGTTTTAAAACGGAGTCTTGCACTGTTGCCCGCGCTGGAGTGCAATGATGTGATCTCAGTTCACCACAACCTCCGCCTCCCGGGTTCAAGCAATTCTCCTGCCTCAGCCTCCCTAGTAGCTGGGATTACAGATGCCCATCAACATGCCCAGCTAATTTTTTGTATTTTTAGTAGAGACACGGTTTCACTATATTGGCCAGGTTGATCTCAAACTCCTGACCTTGTGATCCGCCCGCCTCGGCCTCCCAAAGTGCTGGGATTACAGGCGTGAGCCACTGCACCCAGCCTAACCCAGTTATTTTTAATTTTTTTTGTAGAGATGGATTCTCATTATGCTGCCCAGGCTGATCTCGAACTCCTAGGCCCAAGCAATCCTCCTGATTTGGTCTCCCAAAGTGCTAAGATTATAGGAATGAGTCACTGCACCTGGCTATAAAAATCTGTTTTATTTACAAAAAGCAGCTTAGCCATAATGCTAGTACTTCTTAGTAAGATATTAAGAAACACCTTATTGAAAGTGTTTACCATTTGAGTACAATCTGAGAATATGCCAACTGGCATGTTCTTGAATTATTGGCTATATGGTATTTTTTCTTTTGTTATCAAAGGATTTTAACCATATGTATGACTACATGAAAAACATAACCATCTAACACATATGAGAAATATAAAGATAATACTGATCATACACTCCAAATTTTTTCTACATTTTAAAAATCCTAACCTAGAATATCTTAGAATAGAATAGACTATTGTACGTAATTTACTTATATTATTCTAACAAGGCTTTCCATTTTAAGCAGCAAGTTGACTTCCTAATGATAGAATATGACTATCAAAAATTTGTAGCAATCACTAGGATTGGATAAGCAGCGAGAAGAAAAATAAATTTTATATTAGGCTTGCATGAACTAGCATACGGTAACTAAAATAACTAACACTGATTAATATTGAACCATATTATTTTACATTATCTTTACTGAAGTCCATGAAATCGGTTCTATCATCTACCATTTTGCAAATAAGAAAACTAAAATAGGAAACAATCAATATTGCCAAAGTCACACAACTAAAAGAAACAGAAATTTTAGCTTTTTCTGGGTCAAGACCATAAGCTGTCCGCTATGGTATTAAAGCTTCTGAACAACTGCATAAGGAAGAAAGAGGCAATTTCCCCAATTATCCAGATGAGGAAATGGAGGATCACAGGGGTCAGGCTAATGAATGCCTCAGAAAGTCAAATCTAGGCCATCTGATTGTGGGCATATTACACCACTTCCTCACAGGGTGTGACACAGAGGGAGCACCGCAACATCTTTTACTCCACAGAAATGAAGAGGAACATGTAGGTCATGTGATAAAAACTGATTGGCGTTTTCTAGACAGATCATTAACTGAAATAAATGATTTGGATTTCCACAAAATTCTACCACACACTTTCTTTTTTGGATATCAGTTTTCATTAAGTGACCATTTTAGCCCAGGTTGAGGCCTCTCAAGGAAACTACAGATTAAGTAGCTTACTCCAGATTGCAGTTAATAAGTATGATGCTGAGATCCATCTTGGCTCTGCACATGAATAACACCCCTGATGCTACCCCTTCATTTTCAAGCAGAGTGTCATCTTAATGTGAGCATCAATACACATGATCAAAGACAGAATTAAACAATGAATGACACAATGCTGATTCAGAAAGTAGGGGGAGTCTAGCATTGTAGGAATATCTGAAGTCAGAAGGAACAGAATTGATTTTAAAGGAAGGCACAGCAGTCCACCAGAGCACAAAATATGCATGAGATCATGGTAGGAGATGATGCCTAAAAAAGTTAAATAGAAATTTGTGCCGGGTGTGGTAGCTCAGGCTGGGTGCAAGGGGCTCACGCCTGTAATCCCAGCACTTTGGGAGGCCAAGGCGGGTGATCACCTGATGTCAGGAGTTCAAGACCAGTCTGGCCAACATGGTGAAACCCTGTCTCTTCTAAAAATACAAAATTAGCTAGGCATGGTGGTGTGTGCCTGTAATCCCAGCTACTTGGGAGGCTGAGGCAACAGAATTGCTTGAACCTGGGAGGCAGAAGTTGCAGTGAGCCAAGATCACACCACTGCACTCCAGCTTGGGTGACAGGAGCAAAACTCTGTCTCAAAAAAAAAAAAAAAAAAAAAAAAAAATGCCGGGTATGGTGGCTCATGCCTGTAATCCCAGCAGTTTGGGAGGCCGAGGCGGGTGGATCATTAGGTCAGAAGATCGAGACCATCCTGGCTAACACGGTGAAACCCCGTATCTACTAAAAAAATTAGCTGGGCGTGGTGGCGGGCACCTGTAGTCCCAGCTACTCGGGAGGCTGAGGCAGGAGAATGGCGTGAACCTGAGAGGCAGAGCTTGCAGTGAGCCGAGATCACGCCACTGCACTCTAGCCTGGGCTACAGAGTGAGACTCTGTCTCAAAAAAAAAAAAAAAAAAAAAAAAAAAAAAGAATGCAGAGAACCCAGAATATCAAGATAATAAATTTGATTTAACTTAAATCAAAATACAGTAGGGAGTGTTTTGCATGCTTTTAAACTTGCAGGTGAGGAAATCCAAGTGGCAATTTGGAAGACTAAGCAAATAGGAAAACGCAGAATTGATTTTAAAAACAAACAGATGGAGAGGGAGACAAATATTACATAGGTCTAGTCAAAAGGAATATGGCTGAAATGAGAACAGGTGCTGTGAAAATAGAAAGATATACACGTGCACATACACACACACACACACACACACACACACACACACACACAGAGGAGTAAAGGTATAATATATAGTACCTGGCACTAGGTAAGACATAAAAAATTAGAGAGAAGATAATAAGAGAGTAAGTTTGAAGCCTGGGAGACACAGAGCAAAATTAAAAGAAACAAGAAAAGAATGGCCAATCATAGAATTTTCTGGGCGTAGGAAACACCAGAAATTAACTACTCATGATTTCACAGGGGTAAGGTAATTCTGAACACATAGGTTGCTATATATGGCCCAGATCCATGGACAATGAGGTTCAGAACTGGCAGTTTCAAGTCACATTGCCCTTTTTATTAGGGACCACTTCCCATCTCAGGGAAAACATAAAGATGGTTTACCTTCACCCATGTTGAATCTGAGTGATCAAAAAGATATCTAGACAGTAGTGACCAGCCCATCCTTGCAGGTAAGCACAAGTCTGAAGGAACAGGAAGAGGAACTAAAGTAACATAAAAGTTCACCAAGGAAGAGCATGTAAAAACCCATCCAGAGAAATGACCAGCACTCAGGGAGGTAGAGCAAAAAGAAGAAATTTCTATAAATAATATGAATGAGCTTAGAAACAGAATGTCAGAGGAGTGAAGAGGAAAGCTTCTCCAGGGTGCCACAGATCCAAAGTGCTATTTCAGCCATTTACTAACAGCAGGGGGAAAACTGCACATGTACCTTAAAGTACATTTAAAGTACCTTAAATAAAATGTTTACTTTCAATAAAAAATTTCTCTGCATATTTTACCATTTCAAATATATTTAAGGAACTAAGACACAGGATTCTACCTTTTATTAAAATCTACAACCAAAGGAGTAACAGTTAACTGTTCTGTAATAATGTGTAATCTAACATAACTTACTCCCAAGTCAAAAGCAAAAACTTAAAAATTCAAATAGTCATTATATTGAGCCACAGAAAATACACCAAGTCACTGCCTAAGTCATGTCCAATATTAGACAACTAAATTACCAAAAAGTTTCACAGATTGCTCAATGGAAAAACCTTTTAAAAATAACAAATACATTATTTTATTTGAATCAAGACCTATTTTTCTTGGCCAACCTACAAAAATATGTTTCTCTTTCTAAGAGTTCAGGACATTAATACCAAAGTCTCAGCCAGAAGTTTATGAAAGTATTACTGAACTGGATCTGTTTATGATTATAATACAAAGTTCTCAGGAAAATTAGTCCCCCAAGGGACTTAAAATATGAGTAATTCAAAAAGCCCAGATTTCTGCTGATATAATCAAACTAACATTCCTTGCCCTCCCCTCAAACTTTCTCCAATTTAATCTAGAGGAGATTCTTGAAAAGTTAATCATTCAATGTAAGAAAATATATACTATCTATGGAATAAGATTTTTTTATCAAAATGGTTGCTGTAAAAATGTTTTAAGAGAAGAACATTTCCAGATATACAAATTACAAGCAGAAAGCCCTTTATAATAACAAATGTATTCAATAAAAGCATGGTTACGCTAGGCTGCAAACGTATGTGACAGAGACCCAATGCCTCCACACATTGAGTCATGCCTCCCTCGAAAACAAAGCAAATTAAAAACTCAGAGGAACAGATATGGGTCCTGCCCTCTTTAAAAAGAAAGACATAATTAAAATGAAATTTGGAAAGTGCAAGGATGGGAAAGAATAAGACACTATTATGTGTGCCTCACATTGGTTTTGGCAGGGATCGGGTATGGCTAAGAATAATGAGCTGAAGGAGGCAGGTGGCAGGAGATCAGAACAGCAGATCCTAGGCAGGAAAAAGGGAAGAGTTGGCCAGCATGTTCAAAGACCCAGAGATGCAAGAACAGGGTAGATCTGGAGACTAGAGTGAGTTCAGCAGGGCTGCCTAACCTGGGAATGCACCCTGGAAGCAGCTGCGATCCACATGGTGAAGGAACATCAGGAAGACTCAAAAAGGACAAAAACACCAATATCAGCCCTCACACTTAGAGTATTTCATGTGTTTTAGCTACTGTCTTAAGAGCTTTCCATGACTCATCTTATCTCATCCTCACAATCCTCTGAAATATATCACAATAGATTATGAAGCTTGCTCTGACACTTAGAAAGTTCAGCAGCTTGGTCAGCATAAGACATGCTGTGCAATTCCAATCCAGGTTGCTGCAACTTCAAGCAGCTGTTAACCACTTCACCCACGGTGTTCCTGGGTATGGTCAGAGCCCCAGAGTGTGTCAAGCAGTGCTCCTGACCACACATCAGTCTAGCCACAGTGGACAAAGAGATGTAAACAGGGAGGAGGGCTGCAGTGTTGTGTAGTGACCCAGGTGAGAGCTGTTGACAGCTTGGACTTTGGAAGTAGTAATGAAGATGCAGAGGGATGAATGAATTTAAAAATACAATTGCCAAGATTAGAGGCATACAGAAAAGAGGAGGAAAAAGTAAAGAACACTCTAAATATCAATGGCTGATAAAAGGTGCAATATCAGGATCCTGGACTGTCTTTTCCTTAGTGAAAATAGCCTCAAAATAACATCATAACTATCACATTCACACACCAGCACATATTCACATTCACACGAGGCTTTGCTATGAGCTGCACAAATTCTGTATTTATTTTGATCAAGCATAAAATTAATTTAATTAATTAGGACAAGTTGACATATAAGAGATAGAAAACCAAAATAAATAAAGGTATCAGGGAACGGTAAAAGACATTTAAACATTCTGTCATTCTAAACACTTACATGCAATTTCAGAAATTCCACATTTGATATCTAATATTAATTTAATACTTATTTATCCTGTGTATATGTGTGCATAGCTGTTTCTGGTTTACATTTTGATATTACAAATAACAGGAAAAAAAAAGGAAGTCACTGTGGCTATCTCTGGTACTTTTGTTGTAATTGCAGATGGCAACACTTCATCATCTCAACTTCTTAAACATCAGAAAGGGAAAAGTTTGGAAACATCAAGAACAATCTAAAATCAGTTGCTTCCTAGAGTCAACGAATCAATATATCCAAAGACACAGAATTCTTACCAGCCAGGACTTCCAAATACTCATTTAAGCCAATAAATGATGGAACAATGAAAGAAAGAGAAAGACTGCCAGATCCAAATAGGTAGTAAGATAATGAGAATACAAATTGCCAACAACCTTTCATGGTATGAGAAAGGTTACAAATGAGACACTAATATCTGTTGACTAAGCCCCCAAATAGACCAATCCCATCAACAGAAATCTTGTATCTTAAGAAGGTGTGCTTTCTTCAGTGAACCCGAGCAATCGAGAAAAACATAGTATGTTTACGTTTGGCAAGAAGACCACATTCATTCACAAAAGTTTAAATATTTCACATAGGTGGCTTCTATACTATCATATAACATACAGTCTAAGACATAACAGGAAAAAAGTTAACACAGAAGTAAATTACAAAGCACCCCGCTTTGGGATATACTAAGGGAAGAAAACACTATTGATTCTGTTCAGACAGAATTTATGGGCAAAAGTTACTGTTGAGAACACAGCATAAAACTCTTACTTTTCAAGAAGCACTTAGTGAACTACCCATCTTAAAAAAAGAAAATCTTGTCCTTTTTCTGTCCCCGTCATTCTACTCATTTTCATTCTGGCAAAGTATGCAAAAACAACAACTATCAAATAGGAGATAGGAATGCTCAGGGGTAATAACTCAATTCCAGTTGAAAATATAAAAATATGAATCAAATACGAAATTTAGAATATGAAAAGAATACACAAGTTATGCCAAAGGTAAGAACTTTCAGAAAGTCTCATTTGATTTATGTGCATTTCAGAGTGACTGACATCTGAGCAAATGCTAAAGAATTGAACTCAATGCTCTAACAGAGCAAGAAGAACCCAACTCTCACCCCAAGACGTCCTTTTCCTTAACTGTTGTTTATTTGTTGGAGGAAAGGGGAAGGTTTTGAATGGTCTGTGCTCCTAAACAGTATAGGAAGCCCACTTGCAGCCTGTATGTTGGCCAACTCCATCAACAGCCTTCTGCTTTAGAGAATGTGTAAAGGGAGATATTTTAAAGGTATAACTGATCAAGTCAGTTTAATAGACTGCATACAACATCATGTCACAATGTGAGGTGATAGAGTGAACAGGGTCTCTTGGGCATTGCTAGTGGAGTGCAACATGGTACGATGTCTACTGAGGTCAGGTTGACAACATCTATCAAAGTTACAAATGTATGTAATATTCCTGTACAATGTGTAAACATACAATTTCATTTTTAGGCATACTTCTGTGAGAAACTCAATACAAAATGACTTATCTATAACAGGTTATTTACTGCAGTATATTTATGCAACAGCAAAGGATAGTAAATAACCTTAATGCCCATCAATAAACACTGGCCCAGCTATACAAAGGAAAATTATCAAAGTGTTTCAAAAATGGACACCTTTTATGTGTCAGTCTATAAGGATTGCCAAGCTATATTAAGAAAAAAAAAATCAAAGCACAGGATACTGTAGTAGTATTTATATAAAAAGGTGAAAAGAGAATATGTTTCCGTATTTGCTCATAAAAGCATGGTACCATTTGAAAGGAGCCACAAGAAACAAATAACTGTGGCTGAATACGGGGAGGAGAGCTAGCTAATAGAGAGTTGGGGGAGGGAGACTACTATTTTGCATCTCCATGTATAACGTTTGATTTTAGAACTATGAATGTATCACCTTTGCAAAATTCAAATAAATATTTTAAAAATTAAAGAATGTTATCAAATTAATCCCCCTATAGTCTGAAGAGTTATACTGTATCCCATGGGAACAGGGAAGATTAGAATCCTGTGTCTCATACAGAAGTCTAATGAACCCTAATGATAATAAGGAATTGGGACACCTATCATCATCAACTCAAAAAAACAAAAAATCCTCTATAGCCTGTATGGGGTATCCTCAAACCAGGATACACTCCAGTGACTAAGAAACTTTTTATGCAATACCATAATGAAGAATATTTCCTCTGTATTTGAAAATGATTTCCAAAACTCAAAATAATTCTCATATCAAATGTCAATTTCTACCAAATATCCATGTACAAAAAAAGCTTTACTCAGAGAACTGAGGAAAATACTCCCCAAAAGCTATATACTAGGTATTACATATTAATGGTAGATCAGAATTTGTAACATCCATGTTTTATATATTGAACATGTAAGCAAACATCCATTGTTCCTAGAATAAGAAAAAAATTCATCTCCAAGAAAAAAAATTTGCCAGTTTGGGGTCTTAAATTAACAGTATAATTTATTTTCATTTGAATAAAAATGAAAAACCCCTGGACTCTCTAAAGAAAAAAATTTTAAACAGCTAAAATCAGCTCGCAAACAAGTAAAATACGTAATATTTTATGGAGGGAATATTTAACTATGTTATGTTCAAATCAATTGCTTATAAATTATTCAATATAATCAAATGGTTTGTTCAAATATTGTTTTTCCAATTTAACAGAAAACTTATGTCACTTTAGTTATATAAACATGAAGAGTTATTTAATATTTCCTGATAATTAAACATCTTAAATATTTAATTAAATACTTTTAGAGCTAATAGAGTTGACAACTATCTTGGGCCTATAAGAACACTTTTTTGGCTTTTCCTTTTGTCCCACAAAAATCTCACATAAGTAGCTCATAGCAGCTCTTACCCTCTGCCCCCTCACTCCCTCTACAAAGCCTCTGGAGAGCCAGGTGGCTTTCCCACGGCTAGTGTGATCAGCGGTGATACAGCAGACACCACTGGATACAGGCCAGCGGGGACAGACTGAGCGGGCTTATCTTCTAACACTGAATCCATGTTCAACTACAAGACATTCTTGAAGAAAGTTCACAAACGATTAAACTTATGCACAAGAAAGGCTGTGCTCTCCATCATATCAAGATTTAAAAAAATAGGAACATTGCATTACTTTGAGAGAACTTACATTTCCCTCCATTTCTTGGTCCTTTAGTTTATAATCATTTTTTTCTTTTTGTCATATGCAGATGCTAAGTTATAAGCAATAATGTCATCAAAATAGTACAACTATTTATGAGGTTTACAAATGTACATGTCTTCATCAAGTTTTCATTTATTTACCTATAATCTACAGTTTATAGCCCATAATTAATGAAAATCACCATATCACATTATATGGCATTATAAAAGAGTCAATATAGTTCACCCAACAAAGATCCACCCATAATACATGATATCAGAAAAAGTAGGGACATTATGAACTTTTTCCTTTCAATTTATTGAAAGACTATTTACCCAAAAGTATATAAGGGTTCACTAGGAGCTATAGTAAACAAGACAATGCCTGGGCCATTTTAGGACAGCAAAACAGACAGAAAGATAAAAAATAAAAAAGAAACAAAAGACAAATTTAGATTCATAAATATCACAGAGAAAAGGATGGTGAGCAAAGAGACAATAACAGAAGGCTGCAGGGATATCACCCGCCATCAAATGGGGGGATGGAGGAAAGTCCCTGAGGGGAAGACAGGTGACTGCATGAAAGCTAAGTGGGAACCAAGTGTGTGAACTGTGAGGGAGTGCAAGCCAGGCTGGTGCCACAATGAGACAGGGGTTTGCCAGGGAGGACTGGGGTTGGTTGAGTCTATCTGCTGATAGGAAAGTTCTAGAAGAGAGAGAGAAAAACAAGAGACATTCACGACTGTGAAGACAGGAGATTATGTGCATGACTCCGTAGACAGGAGATTAATACAAAAGCAACGTCCTAATACTGGGAAGGGTTGGGAGACAGGATGAGAGTGAAAACTTTGGTGTTTGAGAGGTCAGGGAAGCTTCTGCATGCGAGGAAGGGCAGGGCTGTAAAAATGGTGGTGGGAACCAGGCTTTCATTTTTTCAATGGAATAAAAAGCTAGGTCAGAAGAGTTAATGAATTACTTCGGAGAATTAAAGGGCTTACTAAAGGTAGGAAAAGAGGTGGTGCTTCTCAAAGGGTTAAACTTAATTCCAACACATATCAAGACTGCAATTCCATCTTACAATTTGGAAATGACAGTAACTTGCAGAAAAAAAAAAAAGCTCAGTCTTCCAACCTTGTGAAGTTATGTATTAAAAATAAAAACATTTTTTAATTTTTTTTTCTTTTCTTGAGAGAGTTTCACTCTGTTGCCCAGGCTGGAGTGCAGTGGTGCAATCTTGGCTTACTGCAACCTCTGCCTCCCACGTTCAAATGATTATCCTGCCTCAGCCATCTGAGTAGTTGGGATTACTGCGTGTGCCACCACACCCAGCTAATTTTTTTATTTTTAGTAGAGACAGGGTTTCATCATGTTGGCAAGGCTGGTCTCAAACGCCTGACCTCAAGTAATCCACCTGCCTCAGCCTCCCAAAGTGCTGAGATTACTAAAAATAATAACATGTCAAAAGTATTACGTGCCTACTATAAAGGACAGTAATAATACTGACACATGAAATGAGACCCAAAAGCCTACGCCAACCCTACCGCAATACCGTACTTTAATTTCTTTATAATTTGTTCAGCTATTTAAAAAGATAATCCACAATCTCCTACCGCCATTAGAGCACAGGAAAAAAAAATTCAAAAATAAAGGAAAAACATGGCTCATATATCTACAGAAGTCACAAAAATACTATAGGGCACATATACCCAGGCCTCAGCGGTGGGAAGAAAACATACAACCACCGGGCAAAATGTTTGAACACTGAAGACGGGAATTTTTTAGGGCCATTTCAAGACCATGTTGAAGGTAACTGGGAAAGTCCTGGATAGAAATAGATTAAATAGCTAGATCATAAAATTTCAAAATTAAAAATGACTTATAAAAGTGATTCAATTTCTAAAAGCAGGCTTGTAGGACACAGGCAGTGAAAAAAACACATTGTAGGATGAAAATGTTAATGCAATTTCATAACCAGTATTTTTTAAAGAATAGCAGTTGCACAGCTCATGGAACATAGATGGAACGTAGAAATAAAGAACAAAATTTCAAAAGCAAATGACGTACAGATGGGTGGGAATAAAGAGAGTTATAGTATAAAGCATGTATTCCTTCCATTGTCGTATTTAATCACACAGCTCACAACAAAAATCTTTAAGACTGCCTGCAATGAAAATATGCAAAGGCACCTGAAGGTCAAAGTTAAAAATGAAAATGTATCTTTCTCCGTAGTGCAAGCTCTAAATGTCTAGTTCTAGCAGTAGTATTCACAGGTAAGAAAACCATCAGCTCCTAACAGACTTCCCCTGAAGGTTAATCCACACACCACCAAAGATTTTTCACTCAGTAAAATTTCTAACTTACTTCCCCGCTGCTTGCAGGCTTTTAGCTCCATAGGCCAAAGAAGCAATAAATAAAGACAGTTGTAAAATTTGTTTTAAAGGAGAAATTGATGAGTACCCCCATTCAACTGCACACCCCAGGTCCAAAAGCAAATGAGTGATGCTGTGCCCTCCAAACTCCATTCATATCACGAAGGGACCCAGATGCCTAGCAAGTGGTCAAGCAGAAGCTCTCATGAAGATACTTAGCATTCTTAATGGTATCCTTACATTTAATCTTATTAAAACTACACACGCCCGCCAAAAACAAAAGAGAATATAAGGAATGGAAGCAGACATAGAGATTAACACTGATGTCATTTTTGTGTCAGATTATGTTCTTCAGAAAAGAACCAGAGATGATTTTAAAAGGTTAAATTTTATTCTAATTCTGAGAAGATGCCACGGAAGCAAAAATCAAATTGCGAAATGACGATGGGGGCATTAGAAATACACCAGGGATGAAAATAAACCACCCCAGCATACCTAATGGTACTTCCAATATGCAAGGAGAAAAACAAAATTTAAGAAAACGAGATACCCAATACTTGAGGGAGTTGTTGAGGTATAACCAATAAACCTAATGTTACCTAAAAAGATATGAAAGAAAACATCTTATGAGTGTCTTTAATATACAAGAAACTGGGTCTGCACTGGAATGTGTGCTGTGTCACTTCAGCTTTGCCCACAAAGTTAACATCTGCCAAATGGGTATGATTTTCCCCATTTTGTATACAATGAAAATGAAGTTTGCATAGTTTATCTTTCTTTATTTCTATATAACCAGTCTTAGGGGTCAGAAACAGGACACACTCATTGGAGGGACAGGTTTCCAACCCTGAAACATGCTTCCCAGATTCACTATGTCTTTTGTTGTTAAATATATGGAAAAGTAGAATGCCATCTGGTACTCCTAAAAGTAACCCTGCACATGACTGGAAGCTCCCCAGAAAATGTGTGTGTCCTTCTAAGAAGAACGTCCACCAGAGCCCCACACTCCGGTCCTGTGCTTCCACTGTGGTTTCTAGTCCAGAATTCTTGGATAATAAAAGCAGAAAATATGTAGGGATCATGGAAAATAATGTGTCCCATACATATAGGGTGTTTTGATCATTGTTTTTTTAAAAAATAATTTTAACACGTGTTAGAATACCAGGGATTCTATTATCAAAGCACAACAAAATAATCTGCTACTGGCGTTAATATATCCAGGTAACAAGTCTCTTAAAAGGTTGTTTTGGTTTTATTTTGGGTGTTATTGGGGACATAACAGATTTATCTTATAAAATAGAAGTTCTGGTATTTTATAATGAAAAGTAAGTTTAATTTTAAAACAATCTTGATGTTTTTAGTTTCTACATTTGGTGTTGCTAGAGATAAACACGACTATTTTGCTTCTCTACAAATTTTATGAAGGTTTGCCAACTGGTAAATAATAATAAATCCCTTCCTTTCCACAGAACTTTTAGAATTTGGAGGCAAAGGGCTTAGTTTATTTTTAACCAAATAATATGAACAGTCATTTGGATCCTCATTGACTTCACGCTACAGAATTAACAAACCCAAAAAACCCACATCTTAACTACTATCTGGCAGCATCAGAATCTATCCTTAAGTCTCACCAATGATGGCAGATACCATGAAGCCCTATCTATTCCTATATCAGACTTTCTATAGCTCTTCCACGGTTTAATGCTGTGACCCCTCAGTCATTTCCCTGACCGATCTGAAGTTGTTGTAATCAGATTGCTGAATAAACCACCTCCTATTGTAATTAAGAAAATATAGGCACTGAGGGGAGCCCCGGTGGCTCAGGCCGGTTGTCCTGGCGCACAAGGAGGCGAGGCTACGCATTCGAGGCCAACCTGGGCAACATTTAAAAGGCCTCACATTCGTTAAAAAAAAAGAAAGAAAGAAAATACAGGCATCATGGCTCACACCTGTAATCCCAGTACTTCGGGAGGCTAAAGCAGGAGAATCACTTGAAGCCAGGAGTTTGAGACCAGTCTGGGAAACATAGCGGGACCCCACCTGTACAAAAAAATTTTTTTAATTAGCCAGGAGTGATGGTGTGCATCAGTAGTCCCAGCTGCTCAGAAGGCTAAAGCAGGACGATTGCTTGAGCACAGAAGTTTGAAGCTGAAGTGAGCTATGACTGCACCACTGCACCCCAGTCTGGGCAACAGAGCAAGAACCCAGCCTCTTAAAGATTAAAACAGAAAAAAGATAAGAAAACATTATCATTTCATACTCCAGAAAACATCTTCTTTATGTCATCTGGATAGTTCTAGATCTCAGGGAAATGAGATTTTTTTTTTTCACTTAGAAAAGGCTAGTAAGCACTTGGGCAAGGAAGGGGATTTTCTTCTATGTAGGCAGATCAGTGGAAAAAAAACAACTCTGGTAAGTCGTGTGGACACAGGAACCACAGGTTGATCATCCCAGACACCCACCATTTTATAAGAACAAGCTAAAACCTAGGCAAAACTTGCGTCCACAATTATATTGACTAGCCTGGAGAAAAACACATTTTTAAAAAACTGCCTCCATAAAACCTGGATATGCTGAAAAATGTTTCTTCACTAGTTTTTAAATTTACTTTTGCCCTCAATCTTCAAGAATTTGGCTGTAAATTATAATGAAAACAAAAAATTAAACTCATAGAAACTTACCTTCTCAAATAATTTTTGAATATAACTTATATATTGTGTATTGTATTAGTCCGTTCTCATGCTGCTGATAAATACATACCCGAGACTGGGCAATTTACAAAAGGAAGAGGTTTAATGGACATGTTACAGTTCCATGCGGCTAGGGAGGCCTCACAATCATTGTGGAAGGCAGGGAGGAGAAAGTCACATCTTACATGGATGGCGGCAGGCAAAGAAAGAGCTCGAGCAGGGAAATTCCCATTTTTAAAATCATCAGAGTTCATGAGACTTACTATCATGAGAACAGCATGGGAAAGACCTGCCTGCCCCCATGATTCAATTACCTCCCACCAGGACCCTCCCACAATACGTGGAAATTGTGGGAGTTACAATTCAAGATGAGATTTGGGTGGGGACACAGCCAAACCACAACATGTATCATGTGAATATTGTTTATAATGCATAAATATTCTGAAAAGTATAAAGAAAAAGCATCACAGCTGCAGAAAGTGACAAAGGTATATAAAATAAAAAGGAAAAAAGGTATCATCATTGCTCCCAAAACTCTGGCCTCTGAGACTTTGAGACTTGACACTGGATGGTGGGATTCTTTTGTAGCTGCCAAAGGTATGAAAATGACGTAGACATCGGCATTTTGTCTTCATCAACAAACATTTAAGTCAGTTTTCCCTCCAGTTTGCCTGTTTGTATAATCTCCAATTAAAAGATGTTTTTCTTGATGGAGAGAGCCCTAAAACATGGAAAAAACATGGATTTTGCTCTAAAGGTCAGGGCAGTCATTCCCCTATAACAGAGCTTAAGCAGTGGCTGGAATGTGCCTTGTGCCTCTCTGCTGTTTCTGCTAATTGGGCTCAGGCCTATTCAACAAGAGAAGGTTGTGAAAATGGCAGGCTCCCAATTAGCTTATGTTTTCCTTAAGGTCCCTCTACCTTCTGGTCCTAAATTCTTCCAGTCATGTATCACAAAGTCCCTGCTGCCTCTTCTGTGGAATTTATTAGTTGCAATAAAGTGTGGGAATATAAGAACAAAGTCAGCTTATGATCTATTATCTGCCAATATCAAACTATATTCTATGCTGAGTCAGGGAAACAGTTACCATTAAAAAGGAATTTGAACTTCTTAAAACACTGTCAAACATCAAAACTAAAAGTGCTGTTGTTTTTTGTTCGTTTGTTTCTTGAGTGTCAGAGTCAAAATTTCAGAAGCATAACTTGTGAGATGACTCTGATGTAGGATTCAGCTATGGGCTATTCTGAACAAGGTGATTAGTCACTGAAAACCCCGGCTACTCTTTTTGGAAATCATATTGTGCTTGCTGCTACAGACTTCTAATAAGACATACAACCTATCTTTTCTTATTGAAGTAAAACTAACCAATATTCTTATAGAAAGAAGATTCACTATCCCCGTAAGTAGGACCAATACCACCCAAAGAATAAGACACCCCAGACTTCTAGAGGGGCCAGCTAGCTTAGCACTTTAAAGCACTCTTTTGCCTTTCCATTCCTTCTGCTTATTCCCACTGGAAAAGCTGATAAGGTCATAACTGCCTTCAGAAACAGATAATGAGAGATAAGCATTAAGTAGAAAACAGAGCAAAAACAAAACCACTGGAGGCACATAAAATCTAGAACTCTGCTGACCTCACTCCAGACCACACGACTAAAGGAAGATGGCCATCAGTTCTACCCTGGTGTTCCCAAATTGGAAAGGCAGAGGATTTTTTTTTTTAAGCATACAAAATATTTTTTCATGTACATGATGCAATCCTCTTTATTATATGTTTAATAGCAAAAACTAAAGAGAAAAAGAAAGCCTCAGAAGAGACATCAGGTCATTAAAGTCAGATGACTTTCCGGGAATGGTTAACAGAATAAATCCATAATTAAATGGGAATAATTGGAATAGATTTCTAGTGTATAAAGCATAACCTAAGATTCCTCTTCTGCACAAACAATAGTGCTTACTTCTGAAAAAATTTGAGAGGGAGTTTTGTTTTGTTTCTGTGGTTCTTGTCCTCTTCAACAGATTTTAGTTTAATCAATTATTCTGCTGGATGTGAAAACATCAGTGGCTTCTACTCTTCTAGTATACAGTTTCACTCAAATCAAATTTCAGGAATGGAACATCATTTTTTTACACTTATGCCAAAGAAGATGTTTTTAGACTTAGGTACCTTCTCAGTCCACATAGACAACTAACTCAAATAACTTCAACAGAAGCAAATCAAAGCTCGGTCTTTGGTGTGTGTGGCTTCTCAATGCCATCCCTTTTGCTTAAAAAGAAACTATTTTATAACAAAATTACAAAGAATATACTACTTCCTTAAAAACAGGTCTACAATGACAGTAGAATCATAAAAGTTATATCTTTATGATATAATTAAGCTGTATCATATTTTAGAAGCTCTGGGCTACCAATCTTTTTCTACCAATTTTGCAGTATTTAAAAAAAAAAAAAGTCCTATTTAGCTTACTCAACCAACTTCTGGTCGTCACTCCCCATCCCTGCCCACATATCCCTTGCTTAACAGATCTGACTGTGTGAAGTGATGGGAAACTGTGTTTCAGGGAAGGTAAAGAAGGGAGCTCCCACCGCAGCCCCAGTTCCAGGGGTCAAGCTCTATCCATCAAAACCTATACTGGTGCTTTTACTCCCTTTGATTTTGATATGGGCAGAAGAGTAGGGCAATTCCAGCCAACAAACATGATCAGGGATCTGTCAGGAGGTTATTAGGAAAAATGTATTTGCTTTTACAAAGAGCCACAAAAAGAAGACAAAGGCCCTGTTCCCCTTCCTCTGTGCAAGGATGTGGCTCTGAAAGAAAAGGACAAGCTAGAGCACAGAGCTAAGGTGGCCTTCAGGAAGGCTCCCTGAAAAAATGTGAGTGAGGTTGCTAAGCTACAGAGTTAACTCCCACATATTCCCTAGCTCCAGACTTCCTGCTACATATATGCCAAACATTTCCTCATTCTAGATTCCAGGTTGTCTGTTACCTGTCCTATTATATTAATACGTTGAGTATTTCTAGGTACCAGCCCTGATTCTAAGCCTTTGGCGGGTATTGTATCACTTGACACGGCAACCCCTGAGACAAGGTCTACAATTATCCCTATTTGCTGGATGAGTAAACTGATGTATGGACAAGTAGAGTAATGTGCCCAAATCTCATATATGGTAAACAGCTAGTAACCAGTCAGTCTGACTTCTGGGTCCATGAGAAACTATCTAAATCTTAAAAACATTTATTTCAAAGTAATAATAAGATACTAATATCAATTAGTTTAAAAATCCGAATTATGTTGAGAAAATTATGTTTCCTTCATAGAACTGCCATGGCTGTTTTATTATTTAAAATTATTTCCATCACACAATGTTTGTATGCTAACACTTAATATATGACAAAATTAGGACATTTCCTGTGCCATCACGGTGTGCAAGGCAAGCTGTCCCTTTTTGCTGTTTCATATTTTAATACCCTACATCCATGAAATTACTTTAGGATCTTTATACCATAAAACATAGGCTGAGATGAAATATGTAAAACATTTATGATTTCTTTCTACAGCTGTCATTAATCTAAATTGAAAAACAATTTATTCCAGCATTTAGTCAACAAAATCATTAATAATTTTAAAAATTAATAAAGCAACTAAACCCTCTCTGAGTACCCACCTTGCTTTCTATCCATATAAACTTTTTAAAGAAAATAAGTGACCAACTAAACAAACACGTGGCTTTTTATTAAAAGCACTGAAAAATGATCAGCATCACTCATCACCAGGGAAATGTAAATCAAAAGCAAGGTAGGACATCACCTCACACTGGTAGGATGGCTGTTATCAAAACATCAAAATACAGCCGGGTAGAGTGGCTCACGCCTGAGATCAGCACTTTGGGAGGCTGAGGCAGGTGTATCACTTGAGGTCAGCAGTTTGAGGCCACCCTGGCCAACATGGTGAAACCCCATCTGTACTAAAAACACAAAAAATTAACTGGGCATGGTGGTGTGTGCCTGTAATCCCAGTTACTTTGGAGACTGAGACAGCAGAACTGCTTGAACCCAGGAGGTAGAAGCTGCAGTAAGCTGAGATTGTGCCACTGCACTCTAGCCTGGGCAACAGAGCAAGACTGCGTCTCAAAAAAAAAAAAAAAAAAAAAAAAAAAAAAAAAAAAAAAGGGCCAGTTGCTGTGGCTCACACCTGCAATCCCAGCACTTTGAAAGGCCGAGGCGGGCAGATCATGAGGTCAATAGATCAAGACCACCTTGACCAACATGATGAAACCCCGTCTCTACTAAAAATACAAAAAAAAATTAGCTGGGCGTGGTGGTGGGCACCTGTAATCCCAGCTACCCAGGAGGCTGAGGCAGGGGAATTGCTTGAACCCAGGAGGCAGAGGTTGTGGTGAACCGAGATCGCACCACTGCACTCCAGCTTGAGCGACACAGCAAGACTCTGTCTCAAAAGAAAGAAAGAAAAAAAAGTCAAAATGAAAGTGATAACAAGGATGCGAAGAGAAGGAAACCCTGGTATACTGCTGGTGGTAATGTAAATTAGGACAGCCTCTATGAAACAGTAAGAAGTCTCCTCAAAAACTTAAAAAAATAGAACTACCATATGATCCAGCAATTCTGCTTCTGCATATATATCCATGATAAATAAAATCACTATATCAAAGACATATTTGCAATTCCATGTACACAGAAGCATAAATTCACAATAGCCAAGATATGGAAACAACCTAAGTGACCTGCAACCGATGAATGGATAAAGAAAATGTGATATACACTGCGTGTGTGTGTGTGTGTGTGTGTGTGTGTGTACACATAAATGTATAAAATGGAATATTATTCAGCCTTTAATAAAAAAGGACATTCTGACATTTGTGACAACATGGATGAACCTAAAGGGCATTATGCTAAAAGAAATAAGCCAAACACAGAAAGACAAAATCTGTACGATTTTACTTATAAGTGGAATCTTGGAAAAAAAAAAAAATGAACTCATGCTAACAGAGTACGATGGCAGTTACCACAGGGAGTTGGGTGTGGAAAAAGGAAAAATATTGGCCATAGGGTAAAAACTTTCAATTGTAAGATGAATGAACTCTGGAGACCTAACGTATAGCATTAGGTGAGTCTAATAAACATATTTTATACTTGAAATTTGCTAAGAAGCTAGGCACAGTGGCTCATGCCTATAACCATGACACTTTGGGAGGCCAAGACAGTAGGATTGCTTGAGGCCAGGAGTTCAAGACTAGCCTGGATAGCAAAGGGAGACCGTCTCCACAAAATAAAACATTTTTTTTTAATTAGCTGGGCATGGTGGTGTACATGTATAGTCCTAGCTACCAGGGAGGATGAGGTAAGAGAACACTTGAGCCTAGAAGTTCGAGGCTGCAGTGAGCTATGGTTGCACCACTGCACTCCAGCCTGGGTGACAGAGCAAGACCTTATCTCAAAAAAATTAAATTAAATTAAATTTTAAAAAATTTGCCAACAGAATAGATCTCAAGTGTTTTCACCACACATACACACAAAATTATATCTATGTAATGTGATGGATAAATTATCTTTTTTTTTTTTTTTTTTGAGAGAGAGTCTCACTCTGTCGCCCAGGCTAGAGTGCAGTGGCGTGATCTCGGCTCACTGCAAGCTCTGCCTCCCGGGTTCACGCCATTCTCCTGCCTCAGCCTCCCCAGTAGCTGGAACTACAGGTGCCCGCCACCACGCCCGGCTATTTTTTGTATTTTTAGTTGAGACAGGGTTTCACCATGTTAGCCAGGATGGTCTCGATCTCCTGACCTCGTGATCCACCCACCTCAGCCTCCCAAAGTGCTGGGATTACAGGAGTGGGCCACCGCACCCGGCAGATAAATTATCTTGATTGTGGTAATCATTGTATTAATATATACATATATAAAAACCTCATACTGTACCCTTTAAATATATACTATTTTTATCTGTCAATTATACTTCAATAAAGCTGGAAGAAAGCACAATTAAAATTATAAAACACTGGGATTCCCTACTACAAAAAACCCATTGTGAGTCAATAAAAACAACTGAAGCATTAAAAAAAAAACACTGAAATAATTAACTCATTGGAGGTGGGGGGAGGGGGGAGGGAAAGCATTAGGAGATATACCTAACGCTAAATGACGAGTTAATGGGTGCAGCACACCAACATGGCACATGTATACATATGTAACAAATCTGCACATTGTGCACATGTACCCTAAAACTTAAAGTATAAAAAAAAAGTGGAAAAAAAAAAGTAACTCATCAGATACATTCTGAGTCTTCCATATGAAAGGAGGACTTTGCTAAGTGATGCAACAACTTTGTAAATAGTCATTCTTCCCAAGGCAGAAAACAATTATTTCTGAGTGGTAAACAATTCTGATTTCACGAATTGTAGGTGGCTGCACTGCACAGTGAAACAGATAACTCTAAAGACTGATAAACCTAAAATAGGTCCTTGAAATTTATGAAGGGATAAGTGCCCAAACATGACAAAATACCGTAATCTAAATTCTAAAACAACACCATAGGATATATTTCTCTCATACAGTGAAGTTAGGTACAACAGAAAGTTTTAATTTGCGTCTTCAGATCCTTGGACTTACTGCCTATTAAAGAAGAGAAGAGTCTTGAAAGTCTACTCACTAACAGCATGATTCACTGCCAAACATCTGTGCCTCTGTAGCATTACAAACTCTAAAGCCCTGAACCTTCAGAATGTACTGCAAATATTCATAACTGCTCACAATAAATCTGTGATCAGAGACCAGCCAGAAATATCCTGCATTTATGTTAGATAAACTCTGACATAGAGATTGGTACTTAACTAAAGTTTGTTAGAATAATTAACTTTTAATCATCACCAGTGATTGAGATGGGAGAAACATCTTTGGGGTATGGGACAGGATGTTACAGCAATGACGCACATATAAGGATTTGTCATGTTACCTGTTCTTGTTTCTCCAGCCACTTGCCCACCATTGGGTGACTGGCACTCAGAGACGAGCGAGCATTGTCTCTCTGAAATTGGTTAGACCAGTTACTAGTATCCCGCGGGAGGCTTCTGTAGTTTTCATCTTTCTATTCAAAAAGAAACAAAAAGGTGTCTTGTAAAAAACCAGACCTTGCAAATCAGTAATGCACCTGGTTTTTCAAAAGTAGCAGAAAAATGATTCTACATATTTAAAACATCTTTCCAATCCTATACAAAATAGCTGATTGAGGACATTCCACCCAGATTAGACCTCGGAATTATAACCATGTGCCGAGGACAGGCAAGTCTAATAATTACAGCAGGAAGGGTGGCACACACACGGCACACAACAGACAAAACACTACACTTTGCACTCCTACCCAAATCAATCACCTAAACCAAGTACGTACACCAAAAAGTGAAAAGTACTTCTATACAAGACTTTCACTCTCTCTCAACTGTGGCATTTTCCCTTCTTTCCAGTCTCATAATTAAATTATGAGGTACCATCTTAATTCATCAGAAATGCTAAAAATAAGGAAGATTAATAAATTTGCCCTTTCTTCAAAGCCTTATGGTTTTGTGATTTTTGGATAAGAGATTTAGATTATTCAGGCTGTTTCTATTACCTACTTCACAAGATAGCAGTCAGCATTAACTCAAACATCAGGGGAAAAAACTGGCCTATCACTATTATTTGTTACATAACAGATACGTAATTGTTCACTGTGACATGGATATAACAAGCGATGTCTTTACATAAATATTTATCAACTAAGTTTTTAATACTCCCCAGAACAACCAAATGCTACGTGATATTTCTTTCAGATAAAAAATTATAATAACTTCCTTTGGCTTATGAGCTGTAAAACCTCATTTCAATGTTCTGAAAAGAAATGAGAAAGCTAGGATAAACTAGGGGAGTCAAACTTTTTAGTTCAAAGACGAAATCTAAATCATCTCCTATAAGAACAAAGTAAAATATTACCTTCAGTTGGATCCACTTAACTCAGTACACCAAGTTAGAAGAAGTACTGGCATATTATCCTTAGTAACACTGTTAAGAGTAATCTGGCTATAAGTATTACATGTGTGATTGATACTTACTCTTCATGTGCTAAACTATATGAACACCCAATACAAACACAGAAACAAAAAAGTGCAATATAATAGGTTTGCAATGTATAAAACTTAGTTATAGATCAGGATACTATTTGCTCTTCCTTCATGAGTTCCATCAGGGAATAAAACTTAAAAATGAATTGATAGTATTGGGTTTATGTAAATATTGGGACATATGTTCAAACAAAAGGAAATTGATAAACATTTACCAACATAAACTTTGACATGAAACTTCATAAACTTTAAGAATTAACCTGCAAGAAACAAAATCTTTAAAAACTCAGTAGCAAGATGAAACTTTAGCAGCAAGTTTTTTTTTTTTTTTTAATAGAAATGGTAAGGAGAAGACATGGACAAAAACTAACTAAGGAAGCAAACTAGAAACTAAGGTTCACCGTATCTCAAGATACTAAGAGTCTCTCCTTAAAACTTAAGCTTCAGAAAAAAGGAAAGGAAATACCGTTTCATATGATAGTCCATAGATACATTGATAAGCTTATTCTGATAAGACTTTCTTATACTAATAAGAAATTCAGATAAGTCATAAAGGGTAGACTTGTTAATGACAGAACTTTATTTATTAGTGACAGAACCTTATGTGTCGACAAAGAGAAGGAGGAATTAAAGTACACTGAAATGCAAGTATAACTTTTATGTCAAAAATAAAAATTGAGGCTATCATTGACTAGGGACCAGGCTTTCATACTCATTTCCCACCATTTGAGGTGATTATTACACCAACTGCTTACTTAGAGAATGAATAATTAACCCAAAAGTATTTTTAAAAATCTACCCTCTCTTTTCAGTAGGAACTGTATTTCAGAGAAATCAACAGTACCAGTTCATGAGGGGAAACCTGTCTTTTCAGAAGAATGCCAAATAATGGAAATAGAACTAATAACAGAATTAGAAATATGACCATTTTCAACTCCTAATGAAATAATTCAGGCAAAGATAATCATACTAAAACTATTATGTTAAGAGTTGATAGATAACTGGATATTTGCATAGTGACAAAATATCACTTGAAAAGAAAAAGATCTACTTTTGAAATGAAGAGCTCAGGCTCCACACAACTCTCACCTTTTGGTGTCTGGAGTCCAGTATGCTACTGGTACCCACCCCTCTGCTCCTTCCTGAATCTATGCCATTTTTCCTCTTCCCGTAAATGGTCTTGTTGGCGCTATGGACTGCTGATTATTATCTCTCTGGACAAGCTCAAAAAGTGCACAATTTCACCACGTCCTACCCTGACAACTTTTAAGCACAAGTCACGAAAACGAAACTGTTTCCTGAATTCATGATCTCAGTTTCCAACAAGAGGTCCCAAAGATACCTCGAAACTGAGCTCCCTATTTTGACTCAGGCACCATTCCCTAAAACATTTAGAATTAGCTTTACTCTCTTTCCTCCCTCTTTGATCTCCACAGCTTCTAAGTCTTATTGATACAACATTTTTGCTGATTTTGGTCCTCGGCCATAAACCTAGTTCAGGATCAACTTGTCTCTTACCTGAAATTTTAACAGTGGCCTTCTAACTGGACACAGGCTCTGGCCATATCCTCTCTAACAATGTTCTGCACCACTTTCTGGCACAGGAGTTTCCTAAAACATATGTTGGATCACATCAAACCTCCAGCAAACACTATAGGTAGACCAGAGGGAATTTCAGACAATGGTGCTTACTGTACCACACAAACTTCTTCACCTTCATTCTTGCTTTTTTTGAGACCTGTACTTCCAACATCATTTCTTCTATAGAAATACTGAACATTCTTCAAAGCCCAGTTCAAACGCTATTTTCTAAGAAGCATTCCCTGATTCTCAATAGAACTAATCATGCCATGCTTTTTGTTACCACTCTGTTCTAATTTTACTTTAACTATGGTTCTAACTTATAATTTAGCTAATTTTAAAAATTGCTATTTCTAATCTTACAGGGAAGCCTGGGCAGATCATCATTCACCTTTAAACCCAAGCACTCAGCACAGTGGCTTACACCAATGTGGATGACTTTTTCATGAATATTTTTTATGTTCCCTATTTCACATGGTTTCAAAATCCTGGAATTTTAAAAGAACATTTTGATAAGTTGTTTTAAAAATTGTTTAGGGAATGCTTCAAAGAGGCATTAAGATAAACTTTAGTAAAATGTATTTTCAGTGAAATGTAATCACTGTATTTTTAGATTTATACTAAAAGATGTATACCACTGTTATATGCCTATTTCAACTTCCTGTCACACCTACAGCATATGATGTCTGTGGCAAATGTGATTATTTCCAAATGCATAGAAAAAACAGTACACTGTTTCTCCATGTAAGTCAATTATGACATGCAGTACCTGCAGCACAGCAACATACAATAATCAGACTAAGAGAAAGAATGGCTGAAGATGGCAAGGTCTGCACTTTTCCACTGCACTTGAAGAATTTTACAATTTTATATTTGTGGAATCAACTTTGAGTTCATGGATAATAAAACTAAAACTAACGTTCACTCTCATAACAAAGGAATTTTCCTAATTCATGTAAAATCAATGATGAATCCATATATTGACTTATGTATAATGTATGAAAAGTGCAGTTATTTACAGCAATCTTGAATTATTATCAATCAGTTGAAGAATTTTTAAAATACATTATTAATTCCTATCAACATATTTGTTATATTTTTGACAGCATCATGCAGGTCCTACTAGCGTTTCAGTCATGTTTCTTCCTCCCAGTCCTGAAGTCTGGCCACAAATCTAGTTCACCGTCTACTGCATACAATGTGTATCAAGTGCATACAAGGACTGTAGGCCTGTAAAGCTGTGTATCTGTATTTATGATGGAAAGATATCCATAAACATCGCAGCATACAATGTATTAAATATTTTCTACAACACAATTTATACTAGATACCACTGTCCACTGAAATATACATCATGCACTCTATTTTCAATTTGAAAATATTTGCTTTAGCATAAATAATTGTTAAAATATGGCACTCGTAACCAATCTATTCAAGACTATATATGCTCACTTATGAATCAAATTATAACTATAAATCAAAAATTTTAAATCAAATATACATAATTCTAATGATTATAAAACTTACTAATGGCATAAATTAATTTGTTAGAGTTATGACTTTATTTAAAAGATTATACAAAAAAAAATGCCATAAGAAATTACTCTCCCGTTTTTAAATTATAACTTTAATCCTCCACTTATGAGGCTGCCCCAAATAGCTGCTCAGCTTTGTGCGAGGTGGGAAATTTTCCTTCTTGCCAGGGAAAAACAGATGTTCCTGCTGTGATCAGGGATCTTCCTTATCATCTAAATGTACTGCCACAGCATCAGGTGTCAAAAAGCCACTCCGGCTGGGAAATGCATATTAATTTGCTGCTCCCTGGTAGCGGTATCCTGGCTATGGAGAAAATCTCTTTCAGGGTAAGGAAAGTAAGTGTCTTCTCCCACCTTAGCCCTCCCCAAGCTTATTACAATTCAGGAAAACTATATAGAGCCCACCCAATGCCTTGAGATAGAGGCTCATTCCCGGCATACTAAGCTGCAACTCCAAGCTTTATCTCCCAGAAACAGCTATTTAGCTGATGGTCAGATTTCTTGGCAAGACTATATCCCTCTGTTGCAGAAGTCAGAACTGGGGTTTCATAAGCATTATAGAAGTCATAAACATTTCTGTGTTGGCACAGGAAACCCAACTATGTTTCCACCTCGTTTCAGTGCAAAAATCTCATTTTTTTTAAGAATTATGAGAAATCATAGCATATTTTGAAATACAAAATACTCAATGCATATACATTTCATTCAGAACCTCTATGCATCATATGGTTTCAAATATTCCCGTGTGATGTTAAGATTTTACATTTCCCACATTTTTCAGCTCTGCAATTATGGTAAAAGAGAATTCAATGTTCTGCTTAATTATTTCTCCAGGAAATGATACACAAAAAACAAAGGGAACTATTTTCAGGATATCTAATCTGAAATTAGGAGACTGAAGTAAAATTAATAATGATGGCTTAGAATGATTTTTTTTGAGACAGTCTCGCTCTGTTGCCGAGGCTGGAGCCTCGGCAACAATTTATTTATTCATCTTCTAAAAAATAAATAAAAACAGAAAAAAGAGACAGATAAGGGTGAAATAAAATGACTCACACACACAAAACGCAGGCTTAATCACCAACTTGTAAATGAAGGCAGAAAATTTTGGCAGTTCCTATTGGAATAATAAACTAAATGCCTATTAAGACTTTTTTTTAAATAAGGAAACCCAGAATTTTATTCCAAACACAGTATTCATTATCATTTACCCTAGGTGCATGTCTATTCCTAAGTATAATGAACCAACTAAAAAGCAATATTTGAAATCCATGCAAACCAACTTCCTATGTGTAATGCCTAATGTTGTAGAACTGAGGCCAAGTAATCTGTTCCTATATTATCTGTAATTCCTAAGCCAGTATCCAGCACATAATCAGCACTGGTACATGTATACATCTTACTTTTCCTTTTTGCTAACAGGTTTCCCCCACATTCTTAATAACTATTAATGAGAGGTATGGAAAAGACAAATGAAAGAGTATGTGTTTATAAAGTTTTTATAACAGAACTATGGCAAGACAAAGAGGAAACTCAAACATCCATACATTTTTGTCAAAACAACCACATCGGGATCATTAGTGATAATTAATAGTTTGCTAAACTATGGTGGAGTCTGCAACCAGAAACACTGGTCAGAATCCAGAGATTTTGAATGCCAAAAGACGTATTGCAGCACCTCTTTAGCTCAAATTACTTAAGTAATATTTCATTTTTAAATGTCAATTTTCTTTTTTTTCTGAGACGAAGTTTTGCTCTTGTGGCCCAGGCTGGAGTGCAGTGGCTCAATCTCGGCTCACCACAACCTCCGTCTCCCTGGTTCAAACGATTCTCCTGCCTCAGCCTCCCGAGTAGCTGGGATTACAGGCACCCACCATCATGCCTGGCTAATTTTTTGTATTTTTAGTAGAGACAGGGTTTCACCATGTTCGGCAGACTGGTCTTGAACTCCTGACCTCAGGCGATCCGCTCACCTCGGCCTCCCAAAGTGCTAGGATTACAGGCGTGAGCCACCGTGCCTGGCCAATTTTCTTTTTCAACTGAGTTAAAGTTTTGAACAGGAGTAAGTAAAAAAATTTGAAAATAATTTTTCCAAGCAAATTAACTATCCAACAAATTAACAATATACAAAATAAAATATCCTAACATATATATCAAATTTTTACTAGGATTTTTCCTTTGAAATGTTAAAGGTATTATCCATAGTTCTTAAAACTCATTCTGACCTGAAAAATGAACTATATCATTCTTCACATTTGATAATATCTTTTCTAGTCATTCTGATACATACTCAGTATCTTCTAGATAATAAAATTCATTTAATTTGGTGAGGAACTCAAGAATTCTGAATATGCCAAAAAATTTTCACAGTGGAATTCTAATATAGAAGAATTTCTATATTAGAAAGAATTTGAAAATTACAACTAAGTTTCCAAATACAATTCCTGTCATGGCAGCAAACCCTTCAAGTTGATACACTGACAAAATCAGAAGCATGACATTTTAGTTTTAAGTCATAACCTGTAACTGGCCAGTATCTTGTTAACGGTCTTATCAAACAAGAAAAATAATCACAGGAGTATGGATCTGTATCAGGCTATGAACATAAAGGGATCCAATATGAAAAAGGATTGGTCAAAAATCTCTCCTGGAGATGCAGGTCTGATCAAACTAAAACGGGCGCGGATTTCTCTGAAGCCACTGGATCTGTCCAGAGAGCCAACCAGGGAATCCAAGGAGAAGAGAAAGACCAGCAAAACTCAACCACATCCAGGATGCTCGTTTGAACCAATTTTCTCAGCTGTTCCTAATCCACTTTGACAGAGAAGGAAGCCATGAAAAATTTTGGATACAGCATTTTAAAGCTGGAAGGAAGAAGCTAGACAACAGCTAGGTTAACCTCTTACTGACTGAAAGAAGAAACAGGGATCTGGAGAAGTGATAACAAATAAATTGTGGAGATGAGGATGACAACCCATTCTCATGGTTACACCTACCCACCTCAATGCCCAAATTCTACTCACTCAATTTCCTTTTTCTTTTTTTGAGACAGGGTCTCACTCTGTCATCCAGGTTGGAGAGCAATGGCACAATCTTGGCTCACTGCAACCTCCACCTCCCGGGCTCAAGCGATCCTCCCATCTCAGACTCCCAAGTACCTAAGACTACGGGTGCAAGCCAACACACTCAGCTAATTTTTTAACTTTTTGGAGAGACAAAGTCTCACTATATTGCCGAGGCTGGTCTTAAACTCCTGGGTTCAAAAGATCCTCCTGCCTAAGCCTCCCAAAGTATGGAATTATAGGTATGCACCACCAGCCTAGCCTCTACTCAATCCTGAGTAATAAAATTTCCAACTTCTCATTCTTAATCTAACATGGAACCATAGTTTAGGTGGCTAATGACAAAAATTTCTGATATCTAGTCACTGCTACACAAGCATCCCATCACATGGGAAGGTAGTTCTTGAATTCAAAATGATGATATATTTGATCACAAATTATATTTTCATAGAGATGGTTGGTTCACTAAGAAATACTATACAGTGTTACGAATAATCATACGTAAAATGTTGGCTTTAAAATTGTCTCATTTCATTCTTAAAATAATTTTTTAATTTTGTTTTAATTTTTTATTTATTTTTTGGGGAGACAGGGTCTCACTCTGTCACCCAGGCTGGAGTGCAGAAGCACAATCATAGCTCACTGAAGCCTCAACCTCCCCAGCTCAAGTGATCCTCCCACCTCAGCCTTCCGAATAGCTGAGACTATAGGCACACATCACCACACATGGCTAATTTTTTAATTTTTTGTAGAGACTGAGTCTTACTATGTTGCTCAGGCTGGTCTCAAGCTCCTGGCCTCGAGAAATCCTCCCATCTTGGCCTCCCAAAGTGCTGAGATTACAGGTGTGAGCCACTGTGCCCAGCCTCAAATTATTTTACAAAACAAAGATCTGATTAATTCCAGGAGCTTGAGACTGTAGTGAGCAACAGCTGGACCACTGCAATCCAGTCTGGGCAACAGAGAGAGATCCTCTCTCAAAACAAGAGAAAATCTCTTTCCAGGTATAACTTAGATTATCTTCTTTATCCTGGGAAAACATGCAGAAAGAGGTGAGGAGGAAATAGATGAGGGAAGTTTAACGTTTATAAAAAATTACAAAAATGTTGTCCACTCTTAGACTCTGAGGAACTGAAGGACAGAGCCTAAAGGAAAGCCGCATGAACCACAGCCTCCACTTGCTTTCCTGCACAGTATTTCATAAGGGCCAACATGGCCCCTGAATTCCCCTAGAGCCACCAGCATTCCACTATCAGCAGTGGGCAGGAATGGAGAACACGGGACCACCATTTTTGACCTATACTCCTTAAAACAAGAAGGGTGAGTGTGTGAAAGAATAAATAAATAAATATTTCGGGTTCAATTAAATCTTGAAGATCTTGACTCACTTTCTTACACTACACTAAACATGAGGAGCAACATTTGACTAAAAGCTGCTTAACTCTGAAAAACAAATTTATACTGAAACAATTTAAAAACATTTTAGAAAGTGCTTAACTTTGAAGGCAAGAAATACGCAACAACATTTCATTTTCTTTCTTTTTTTTTTGAGACGGAGTCTCGCTCTGTGGCCCAGGCTGGAGTGCAGTGGCGTGATCTCGGCTCACTGCAAGCACCGCATCCCGGGTTCACGCCATCCTCCAGCCTCAGCCTCCAGCACAGCTGGGACTACAGGCGCCCACCACCATGCCCAGCTAATTTTTTTTTTTGTATTTTTAGTAGAGGCGGGGTTTCACCGTGTTAGCCAGGATGGTCTCAACCTCCTGACCTCGTGATCCGCCCGCCTCGGCCTCCCAAAGTGCTGGGATTACAGGCGTGAGCCACCACACCCGGCCCTCATTTTCTTTCAAAAATGCTCCACTCTAAATATGTATGCTCCAAAACTAAAATTATAAGTAACAATAGCATTTTGCATCAAGAATACTATGCACAATACAAAAAGAAGGGAACAGATGCTAGACAGAAAGGGAGAGATAGTAAAATACTTATAGTGGTTGCCTAATTCCAAAATACCTACAGTCTTATACATTATTTAGATGTGCATCATAAATATTTTATATTTATCTAAATATTTTTCGTCTGAATTTAAAAACGAATGTATATATACATATATATTTAAATAAATTACTACAATTTGAAAATGAAGAGATTTAAATCACATATAACTAGTCTGACAATGTAAGATAATTACCACTTTCTTCCATTTTTCAGCCCACAATCCAAACTCCAATGGACTGGATGGATGCGTAGAAGAATTGGGTAATTTCTGTGAAAGTCCCTAGGTACAGTCTACCTTAGCTTTCCCCTTAATTGTGAAAGTGCCTCCTCAGGTACACTGTCTCCACAGATACTTTTTATCTTAATGTAGAAAGTGCTTATTTTCATTTATCATAATCTTATCCTACATATTGTTTCTCATAAGTAATGACTTTTGTGGAGAATTACATTGCCACATGGGAAGCATTTAGAGTAAAGAAATGGATGGCACAAACTTCTAAAGAACTGAGTTCCTCTCTACCACCCCATTAGCAGAAAAAGCATGTTCTCTAAAAAGGATATTAATATTCAAGGAAACTATTTCTGTCCTCCATTCATGGCTAAAAACTACAATTTTAGAAAATGTGATTCAGGGAATTTGAGTAACGTCTATTGAAACCTTACTCTCCCCTTCCCCCCAAAAAAACACAATCTAACTAAAGTCGAAATAAAACAGATATTGCAACAAGATGCCCCAATAAAAATTAAATACAAAAGTGCAAGTACCCAGCCAAGAGAATTCAGCACATTTATATCACAACTTTATCATTTAACAGCTGGTTGAACTATTAGGTGTAACATTTAACAGCTGGTTGAACTATTAGGTGAGCTATTTAAACTCTCCAGGGCTCTACTTGCTCACCAATAAAATAGGTACAAGGCCGGGCGCGGGGGCTCACACCTGTAATCCCAGCACTTTGGGAGGCCGAGGCGGGTGGATAACGAGGTCAGGAGATCGAGACCATCCTGACTAACACGGTGAAACCCCGTCTCTACTAAAAATACAAAAAATTAGCCGGGTGTGGTGGCAGGCACCTGTAGTCCCAGCTACTCGGGAGGCTGAGGCAGGAGAATGGCATGAACCTGGGAGGCAGAGCTTGCAGTGAGCCAAGATCACACCACTGCACTCCGGCCTGGGCGACACAGCCAGACTCGTCTCAAAAAAATAAAAATAAAAATAAAAATAAAATGGGTACAGCAACAGTACCTACACTTCTGGTATAGGTATAATTAAATGATATATAACATGTAACATACCAAGCATGGCATAATGCCTAGGAATAGCAAGTATTCAAAAACAACTTTGTTATCATTAGTGAAAATATTAAAACCAAGAAAACAGATTTGGCTTATAGGTAAAATAGATGGAAACCACTTCTACTACCAAATTTCGAGAAACACTGACTGGAACACATTTCTCCAAAGGCAGCCCAGATCATAACAGGAGCAGGAATATATGCAAAATTAAAAGAAAGGATGTTTAAAGTCCTTAGAATGCAAACAGGTGCTCCAGTTGCAGCAATCCATCTGATACTCTTCTTGTTAATAACAGGACCTGAAGGGACTAGATCTAACTTCACAACTCAAAACAGGTAGGCTTATAAGCTGAATTATAAAAAATTAAAAATAGAAACTAGCTTAAAAAGATGAAGCCAGGCATGGTGGCTGATGCCTGTAATCCCAGCACTTTGGGAGGCCGAGGCGGGTGGATCACCTGAAGTCAGGAGTTCGAGACCAGCCTGGCCAACACGGTGAAACCCTGGCTCTACTAAAAATACAAAAAATTAGCCGGGTGTGGTAGTGGGCGCCTGTAATCCCAGCTACTGGGGGGGCTGAGGCAGGAGTTTCGCTTGAACCCAGGAGGCAGAGGTTGCAGTGAGCTGAGATCACACCACTGCATTCCAGCCTGGGCGACAGAGTGAGACTCCATCTCAAGAAAAATAAATAAATAAATAAAAAGATGAAATGAGATCAAATGAGATTAAAATATTTTTTCAATGTATATAGACTACGCAAAATTTTGTTCTATATAATTTAATCAATGATACTTCCTGGTTCTCTCCCCTAAGTCAAGACAATCAGGTATAACATATTCATTTCCCTCTGTGATGTATGTAACTTTAAGGGCACACAAGAAGGCTTCTGACTTTATTCAGGATTTATACTCCTGCAGTGGTTTGTGAACTCTAAAAATATCGCATCCAAGCTCCAAAATTTTATCAATAACACCTTAGGATTTTATCACTTTGAACACAAAATATTTAAAGCATATGAAGGCAGACTGTATTCCTAATGTAGCATAGAAAAAGATGAGACTAGGTTATCAATAACTCAGTGAGCCCAGCCTATTGTAGAAATGATTATAACCATACTGACTGAAAGTTCGAAAATGTGCTGCATTCAAATAAGATATTTTAATATGCAAAATAGAAGGGTAAAATTTATAGTTATAGAGACCTCTAACAGGAAATACAAAATGTTGCAGCAGAATAGTTTAAAGTCTGTTCTCAGCTGGATCTCCCTTGAAACTAATGCCGCAGAAAATTAAAGAGAGCTACAGGTCTGTCACAGAGGACATGTGATTCTAAAGAACTATCTCAGCTCATCCTTTAAGCTTTTGGATGGTTACCATAATGCTGGAAGCTATGCTTGGCTCACAAATAACCAAACGATAAACAACTTCTTCTCAGCAGCCAACTGGTCAAGTGTATTTTGTGGTTTAAAATAATCTTCTTCAAATCCAACAGAACATAAAGGGAAAAAAATAAAATAAACTTTTAAAAACGTAATTTAGAAATAAAATAGTGTTTTCAAATTTACTAATATGACAGTTGGCCTTGTAAATTAGAAAGAATGAATGAGGAGAAGCAGAAATCAAGAAGTCAAACTGGTGCAGGCGCAGTGGCTCAGGCCTGTAATCCAAACACATTGGGAGGCCAAGATGGGAGGATCACTTGAGCCCAGGAGTTCAAGATCAGCCTGGGCAACATAGTGAGACCCCATCTCTTAAAAAAAAAATAGCTGGGTGGGGTGGCCCATGCTTGTAGTCCAAGCTACTTCATGGGCTGAGATGGGAGGATCACTTGAACCCATAAAGTTGAAACTGCAGTAAGCCATGCACTGAACTCCAGCCTGGGCAATAAAGCAGAGCCAGACAGTGGCAAAAGAAAAGGAAAAGGAAAACGGAAAGGGAAGAGGAAAGAGAAGGGGAAGGGAAAGGGAGGAGAAAGGGGGAGAGGAGGGGAGAGGGGAGGGAATGGGAGGGAAGGGGAGAGGGAAGAGAAGGGGGGAAGGGAGAAGCAGGGAAGGGGAAGGGGAGGAAAGAGAATGGGGAGGGGAAGGGTAGGAAAGGGAACGAGGAGGGGAAGGGGAGGAAAGGGAAGGGGGAGGGGAAGGGGAGGGAAAGGGAAGGGAAGAGGAAAGGAATGGGAAAGTGAAGGGGAAGAAAAGGAAAGGAAAAGGGAAAGAGAAGGGGAAGGGAAAGGGGAAGGGGAGGAAGGAAAAGGGAAAGGAAAGAGAAGGGGAAGGAAAGGGGAAGGGAAAGAAAAGGGGAAGGGGAAGGGGAAAGGAAGGGAAAGGGAAGAGGAAGGGGAAGGGGGAAGAGGAAGGGGAACAGAACAAGAAAGGGGAGGGGAAAGGGAAGGGGAAAGGGAAAGGAATGGGAATGGGAAGGGGAAGGGGAAGGGGAGGGGAGGGGAGGGGAGGGGAAGGGGAAAAGGAAGGGAAGGAAAAGAAACAAAGGGGTTTTGAAAGGAATGAAGGAACACACAGAAACAGTAGACAGAAACATTGTTTTCATTAAGGCTTCTATCTAGAAAGATATTTTCAGTTATATTTTTGTATTGATAGTCAACATCCAATATTAAATGAGTTGTAGGACTTTTAAAAGACTCAAAATTAATTTTTCATTTGAAAATGATAAATTTGTGCAATCTAAGTATGAGAGGAAGTGAAATGTCACAAACCCAAATACAGCAAATGTACTAGATTCTAGTCTGCATTCGCTTAAACAAAAGATATCTCAAAAAAAACATTATACAGTCATGCACCCCATAACAACGTCAATGGACCACATATATAATGGTGATCACATAAGATTAAAATCCTGTATTTTTACTATACTTCTTCTATGTTTAGATATGTTGGATACACAAATATCTAAATATGAATGCATTGTGTCCCAGCTGTGTATTCAGTATAGCTACATGCTATATAGGTTTCCAGCCTAGAAGAACAGGATATACCATGTAACCTAGGTGTGTTGTAGGCTACACCATCTAGGTTTGTGTAAGTGCACTCTATGATGTTCACACAAGGATGAAATCGCCTAACAATGCAATTCTCAGGATGTATCTCTGTCATTAAGCAAGGCATGACTATATTCCTATTTGCTCTCCCTTAAAATGTAACCATACTTTGTTTTCAGCTAGACCCGAGGTCCTGCGGGAAAAAAAAAAAAAAGACCGAGCCCTGAAAACCACAGAAGAGCTTTAAGGAAGCACACAAATTTTCTGGAGTGGGTAAAGGAATCTGTTGGTGTGAGTAATGCCTGTGTTTCAGCTCTTGGAAGTCTACAGGTAATTCTGATGCACACCCATGTAGAACCTTTAAGCTATCTAGTAAGACAGTAAGTTCTGGAACTCAGGAATAGTACCAGCTGCTTGTTTCCTTCACCACCACCCTCAAGCCTCACTCCTATCCTATTTATCTAGGACTTCTCAGAGCATTTTATACATCCTAACTACTTCATACTTTATTAGCCTAGAATTTATGTGAAACAATTACTAATAGCTTTAAAAATGTTCATCTCCTTACCAAATAAGTCTACTGGAGGAATCTAGTCAAAGAAAATAATCAGAGATGCCAACATAAATTGATAAATAAGGACATTCTCTGAAGGGTACTTCTAAAGGTTACTTATAAAAGCAAACAAAATTGGCAAAAATATAAATGTCATACAACAGAAAAAACCATCAAATAAAGTTAAACATTAACTATAAGAACTCAACACATAATATAACATTATGTAAACTATCCATATTTATGAGGCATAGGAAAATTCTCTCAATACAGCAGAAATTGGAAACATTGCAGGAAATTAAACTATACTTGGATGGTTCCCCCTGGTAATAAGAATAGCCAACATCTGTATAGAGCCATGCTCCACAGAAGTCCTGAAGTTAATACATCAAAATGTCATTACTACTCATCTTCAAAATTTCAAATTACAATCATCCCTCAGTATCCATGGGGGACTGGTTCCAGAACCCCTTGCAGATACCAAAATCCATAGATGCTGAAGTCTCTTACATAAAATGGTGGACTACTGCACATAACCCATGCACATCCTCCCATATAGTTTAAATGATCTCTAGATGACTTATATGACCTATTACAAAGAAAATGCTTTGTGTAAATAGTTGTTATTCTGCATTATATAGGAAATTAGGACAAAGAAAAGTTTCTACGTGTTCAGTACAGACACAACCATTGTTTTTTTGTTGTTGTTCCAAATATTTTCAATCTAATCTTGGTTGAATCCGTGGATGCAGAACCCATGGACACAGAAGCCTGATGGCATTTCCCTGCTTCTATATACCCTTCATTACCGTACATATGCAAAGAGCAAGCTGTATTACTATCAGGGAAAAAAAAGGGGGTTGGGGAACCTTGAAAAATACTTCAAAAATGTTTATAAAAATAATTTCCTAAACTTAGACAAAACATCTCACCCTTCTAATAGAAAGAAAAGCGAGATGACAAAGACATAACTAAGAAAGCATCTCTTACAAGTGGTTGTGTGTATCGGGGGTATTGGAAAGATAGCAAACATGCTAAGCAACTAAACCAAACAGAAATAATAAACCCAAGGGGTAAGAAACATTGCAAGGTCTCCATTTAAAAAATCAAAAGAAAAGGAAGCTAATGATGCCAATGCAATAGGTTCCCTTTATTACTTTCTTCCCCTTTCCCTAATCAGGTGAGAATCTCTTTTGGAAACTTGTCCGGACCTGGTTTTTATACTAAGTCTACCTATGTTAATTGTTTAGGGGGAAATATCATTTACAAAAACAATGCCACTCATTATTTAGAGGGAAGGAACAATGGCTTGTAGCAACTGCACAGTGAAATAGTCCACAGTCCTTATCCCCGGCACTGCATGGAAAGCAGATTCTTCTAAGAGCTCATTACATCTTTCTTGATGGGATAAATCACATGCTCTCCACAGACTAGCTGGCCTCTTTATTCACAGCAACACTGACTTAATAAGGAAGACCAAAGAGGTGGCAAGATGATTTAAGTATTCACACCGATTGAAATACTCTTCCTCAGGATAAAATATTAACCACATGTTAACTCTCAAATGAAAATACAGCCTCTAGCAAGAAACTTTCCACACAAAGTATGAGCAAAATGTTCCCTAAAACAGTTGGAAAAGGTAGTCAGCCACAAAATACTGGACACAAAGGTGAGTATTTCAAATAACTTTGAAAAAAGCCACAACTCCCTTACCCTCTCCATCTCACTTCCAAATGAAAACATGAAATATTTTAAGAAATTCAGAAGCCTATGGGACCCTCGGCCTCTTCAGGCCCTCAAGCAACTGAGTATCATCATCATCTGTACACTCTGCCCACTAAGCTAATAGTGGAATGAGATTATGACCACTATTTCAACAAGGAAGACTCCACCTCTCGTTTGTGATTTTGAACCAAAGGAGAGAGTTTGACATGATGGTGCTCTAACATATCAGAATACAACTTTCCTGCTTAGAAACAAGATTTTAATTGATTGGTAACATTATTCTAAAATAATTTACTCTGCTCATTTAACTTGGAAGAATATAAACCACTTAACTATGTAGATGAGTTATTTAAGAATGTTAACTTATTTTAACCACTAGAGATCACTAAATCAGAGGGCTATGAATGCACAACTAATTTATTTCTACAATTTTATACAGAAAACCTGAACCACTACAGACTCATAAGAATTTATAACATCTTAAAGCATGAGACCATAGGTAAGCTCTCCTGGGCTTAACAGAAATAAATAAATTGAATGCTTTGTACCTAAGCAGCAAGTATGCTTTCCTTCCTTCTGAATATTGAAAAGATGAGGAGGCTTTTTATAACTGAAAATAAAATGCCATCTAATCATATTTATATATGAGCTCTCAGACTAAAATACAAACAGCATAAAACGCAGACAGCAAGATTAGTATTTGAAGAGTAAAGCCAACGAAAATTCAAAATACTAATTCATTACACATTACTATTTAAGTATATCATATGCGAATATCACTTCATCTAAAAATATGTATGTAGATCAAGGCTTTTCCTATGGGAAAGTATGGGCATCTGGTTACATTAAATACTGCTCCATGGAAGTAAAAAGATTGCTGAATATTTAACAATTTTTAAGATAAATATTATATTTAAGGATGTCTCACAACACTGATACTTAAAATGTGAAAAAAAGAGAAAGAGCATGGATGTCCAAAATTGAGAGAAAACAGAATACAATCTACAATGAAATGTTTTACACTCATTAAAATATTGATAATAAAATTCACACCAGGGAAAATCCCTATTGTACGAAAAATAATGTTGAAATAATCAGGATGCAAATATATGAACATAGCATGACTCCAACTTGTGTGTGTGTGTGTGTGTGTGTGTGTGTGTGTAAATACTGGTTGTTGCTGGGTTCTGGAGTTATGAATAATTTTATTTTGTTCTATAAGTTCGCCAAATTTTCTACAATGATAGTAGCATGTCATTTAAAACAACAGGCTGGGCATGGTGGCTCATGTCTGTAATTCCAGCCTTTGGGACGCTGAGATGGGAGGAACACCCAAGTCCAAAAGTTTGAGACTGGCCTGGGCAACACAGCAAGACCCCGTTTCTAAAAAAATTAAACAACCAGCCAGGTGTGATGGCTAGTGCCAGTAGACCCAGCTACTTGGGAGGCTGAGGCAGGAGAATGCTTGAACCTGGGAGGTAGAAGTTGTAGTGAGCTGAGATTGCACCACTGCACTCCAGCCTGGGTGACAAAGCAAGACCCCATCTCTAAATAAATAAATAAATAAATAAATATTTAAAAATGAAACTGCGTCAGCTAGGTGGATGTGGTTAATTGGCAGTGAGAGTCTCAGTGCTCTCCTAACGTGTTCCTGTGCTGCAGAGGTTTTAAGGCTAATGTTCTACTTCCCAGGCTCTTCTGCAGAGAAGGGTCTAGATACAAACTGAACTCCACCTACTCAGATTCAGTAGCATGAGATTTTAATAGTGGTTTGAAACAGAATTTTCCTGGGCTGTGATGACTGGCAGCATTTCTAGGGTGGGTCTCCAGCTTCACAAGTGACAGAAGCAAGTTGAGTACACCTGGAGGCAGGGTGGTGTATAGTGTGTAGTAGGCAGGCTCCGGTGGGAGGAGTTCAGGCCCCTGGACTGCAGCACCTCCTTCACCACGAAAGCAGAGAGGGTAGCTCCACAGGCAAGCCACATGTTTGTTACTGCATAGTTTTAAAGGTTCTCCAGGACCACCTAGGACCTGCTCTGCAAACCCTTCCAGTGATTTTGTGAGAAAAACATTCTAAGTGATAAATTCCTTTTGTTCAAAAATGTTTTATGATAAAAACACGTTCTGTTTGCTGCAACTGAAACGGACTCACACATCCAAGATGTTGAATGACTTGAAAAGAAACTTCCGTATGTTTCAAACAGTTGAAAACCAAGTTAAAAAAATTTTTTTAAACTGCCAGCTTGACTTGTTTACACATTTGTGAATATCCATGTAAATTAAATTAGGTCTGTTCTAAAAAAAGATTAACTGCCATGAGACCCACTGATAAACTGGATTCTGCTTCTTTGGATAGTCTACTGCAAGATAAAGTCCTCAAAACTTACAAGCTAATCTTAATGAGAAGATCTTCCAATATGGCTCCTCAACACATCTATAAAAACAAAGTATTTCAGGAGACTAAGCCTAACAGTTAAGTTCATAATTCAAAAAAAAACCAGAAACTAAATATACTCTTTTTTTCAACTAGATTCTTCTCAGTTTAAACCTATGTTTTCCATGTACTTTTTTTGTCACTAGAATTACTACAGAGAGGAGTGTGCTGAAATGCAAACCAAAGTTGAAAGAAATATTTAAAACAGGTATTTTTATACCTATGCAAAGAATAAATCAAGCAAATATCAAGCTACATCTTTTTCATCTTATGTGATTAGTATTATTTTGACATTTCTCAATATATACTGTGCTAACTTACTGGCTGCACTGAAAAAATGTTTATTAATTCTTTCAACAGAAGTTTATTGAGCATCTACAGATTCAAAAGTGAAAATGACAGATTCAGCAAAAAGCACATTAAATAAGAGGTGAGAAGCGTGACAAAAAGGAACAATAAGGGTTCTGACAAAGAGCATCAACATTTTTTTAGTTGTTGAGATGGAGTCTCACTCTGTCGCCCAGGCTAGAGTGCAGCGGCGTGATCTCGGCTCACTGCAACCTCCGCCTCCTGGGTTCAAGCGATTATTGTGCCTCAGCATCCTGAGTAGTTAGAATTACAGGTGCATGCCAGCACACCTGGCTAATTTTTGTATTTTTAGTGGAGATGGGGTTTTGCTATGTTGGCCAGGCGGGCCTTGACCTCCTGGCCAGGAGTTCCACCTGCCTTGGACTCCCAAAGTGCTGAGATTATAGGTGGGAGCCACCACGCCCAGCCAACAAATTTTTTAAAACAGACAAAACAAGCTAAAATAAAGTTTCTTTATTCAGATTAAATAAATTAGGTCAAGGACTAAAATAAATTAGGTCAGGGAAGAAAGTATTATGAAGACTAGACAACACACTTCCATTTACAAGGAGACTTAGGATAAAACGATCAACTGTGTAATCAAACTAAATTACCATGAAGTCCACTTTCATCCTTAAAAGTTCATAATGTTCTAAGTTCCTTAATGTACCTCATGAACCAATATAAATATTTGCTTATAAATGTGTCAAATATCCCTGTAAGAACATAGAAAAAGCAAATAAAGAGGTTGCCTGTGAGGAGAAATGGGAGAGGAGACCAGGAGACACAGCAAGAAAGGGACTTTATATGGCACATAATGTGTTGAATGTTTTCATTTTTAACGATATGAAATGGAATCTATTCAAAAAATGGATATATTAATAAGTGCACACCATACACGGCACTGATTTTCATCAGAAAATCCAAGTGTGATATAAAATAGGAGACTATCTGAACTTTGATATGAAAGTTGGTACCACGCTCACAAAAGGCCATCATGAAGATGCCCTGGAATCCAATGGTTTACCCAAGACACGACACTCATCACGGACACCAAGAAGTCAGGAGGGGCAAGAGACAGCAGCAAACAAGCAGAGGTGGTTACCTTCCTGTCGCAGGTTTTAGGACTCCCAGCAGTGTTCTGCTTGAGGAAGCCAGCTGTTGTTGACCAGCGTGTGGGATTTTTCCTTGAAGGCTCTTCAGAGGAAAAATTACTATCACTGACAGAAGTGGAGAGGCCAATTAGAGCTGGGTCACTACTGCGTCGAACATGAAGAGGCATATCTGTAAACACAAAAGCACTATGCTGAAAAATAAGATACTAATGTTGGTAAACTACATGTTAGGAGAACGTAGGGAAATCCTAAAGATTAAGGAACAGAATTACACTTTTGTAAAAGGGGACAAGTGGGTCAGTATTCTAAACACAAATTCCTTTAGGTCCTTTAAAATACTACACGGTGAAAGAGATGCGGTCAAGTGTCGGCTCCGAGCAAAATGGCCCAGGTTTGTACTTGGACTTCACTCCTTGTTATCTATGTGGCCCTGGCCAGGTTGCCTAACTGTTCTCTGCCTCTAGTCCTTTCCAACTCAAATGAAAATAAAACAGTACCTCTTTCATCAGGGTAATGTAAGGACTAAATAATATAAAGGGGTTAAACAGTGCTAGACATATAGTGTGTACTCAGTAGAGAGTAATATAATAACCATTACTGTGATCATTACCCCAATATTTCTAAATAATCATCACATATATCATTTAAAAAATAATGAATCTAAGCAAGTAAACAAATTTCACCTACCTTTTAATCATATCTACTGTAATAAAAACACAGAATCTATATAGTTAACAAATAATTTATTGTATATTTCAAAGTAGCTAGAAGAGAGGATTTGAAATGTTTCCAATACAAAAAAAGATAAATAATTGAGGTGTGAATATCCTAATTACCTAGATTTGACCATAACACATGGTATGCATGTATCAAAACATCACATATTCTCCGTAAATACATAAAATTATGTATCAATTTTTAAAAATCTATAGAATCTAGACATTTGGCTGCTCTACTGAAAAATTTTGTTGAATAAAATGTTTCTTTTGTTCAATAAAGTATTGTCAGAAAGTGTAGTGCCCAAATATATTATTTATACTTAAGACAGAAAATACTCAAAGTAATATGTTAATCTGCAGGTAGTTTCTGTCATATACTCACATATACAATTACACGAAAGGTAGTATTTTAGCAAATGTATTTGCATAGAAGAGCTTGCTTGCAATTGCTATAACAGTATCAATAATACACTCAGGTGAACATTTGTATCATTATCAGTAACAATGAGAACAGCCTGGCAAATAGGATCACTGTCACAGCAGAGAAGAAACAGAATTAAAAATGCAAAGTGAAGAAGAAAAGAGTCTGCAATAGCTGCAATCAGAACTAAAAGTTCCACTCAGCAACTGAGTGAAATCACTCAAAAACATAAGACAAAATTTAAATTATGTTTAGAATACTCTGTTTTTAAAAACTAGGATGTAAGTATTTGTTTTAAAGCCTCTAACAATACAGTTTTACTGACTGATTGACTGGTTGAGACAGAGTCTGGCTCTGTCACCCAGGCTGGAATGCAGTGGCACAATCTCGGCTCACAGCAAACTCCGCCTCCTGGGTTCAAGTGATTCACCTGCCTCAGCCTCCCGAGTAGCTACAGGCTACTACAAGTGTGCACCACCATGATAAGCTAGTTTTTGTGTTTTTAGTAGAGACGGGGTTTCACCATGTTAGCCAGGCTGGTCTTGAACTCCTGACCTCAGGTTATCCACCCGCCTCGGCCCCAAAAAGTGCTGGGATTACAGGCGTGAGCCACCACGTCCGGTCTAATGACATAGCTTTAACCATGAAGCAGTAAACTCATCATTTGTTCTAGGAGGGATATTTTTGAAACACTGGTGCACTGGTCAATGGTAAAGATATGGAAACCTTGAGGATACCAAACAGGCTATTTATATACAGTGAAAGCTGTATTTAAACCACTGTCAATCCAATAGTCTCCAATGTGAAAGCAAATTAGAACTTATCAGAGCAAACAGAAGCATATGAAACATAGTAATAACAAATTTAACATGGACTTCTACATCATGAGGATTCAATAATAACAACACAGTCTGAGCAACGTTACTAGGGCAAAAATTTAGTCAACTCCAAATTTAATACTTTGGTGGCTATCTTAATGTGCTGAGAGAAACATAAACATGAGGATTTTAATAATTTCTGGATTTTAGTGTCTGTAAACATTCATGACAACCTTTGCTGCTTATTAATTTACACCCCCCAAAATAAAAATAAACACCAATAAGAACTATATAGTCACTCTTAGAACAAGGTCGCAAAAATACACATCTAAAAATTGATATGCATTAATATTACAATGCCCTTACTATAAGGAAAGTTCTCTACCAAGAGGAAGCAAAATTTCCAGAATCATCAAATTAAAAACTGTAAGGAAAAAAGCAACAAAATGGGGAGAGGTGGGCAGGAAAACTCTAAAAACTTTTAGACAATGTTATTACTTAGACACAGATTCTGTTGCTGTCCAATTACAGGGTTAGTTATTCAGTTGTTAGGTACCTCTGTACACCTCCATTTCTCTCCCTCTTCTGTCACCCATCTGTATGTAAGTCTACAAGAGGCACTATTAACTCAGAAGAGGAGGCCTTTAAAAAATAGCACAAACATAGGACCAAAAGCAGTACCCAATATCTATAGTAAAATAATCAAAGAAAAGTATATTCTAACCCCCCAATAAATTCAAGGACTGAATTAGCTTGGACACAATAAAACTGCTTGCCCTACTTGTGTTTGAAATTTTCCTCAGGAGAATACATTGCATACATGATTTTGATTAAATAATTAAGACCATCTTCTTAAGATTAGACACAAACATTGTGTTAATGTGTTAGTCTGCAACAGACAGACAAAAATAATTAGCATTTATCTCTATATACCTGTAGCTCTCGAAATAAAATATGGACTGGGGGAAAGGGGATTTGAGAAGAGGAAGATAACAGAGGGAGCTCCAGGCCCTGCGGGATGTCTCTTATGGTGGGTGATGGAGCTCATGGATAGGGTGGTGTTTGCATAAACTGCAATGTGAAGGCTGCTACAGCGAATGCTCTATCATGCAGCCCTTCTTGTTAGTTCTTCCAACATTAAACTTTTTGTTTGCATTTCAGCAATATTTATAAAATAAATTAAAATAAATACAGTCTGGATCTTCTATTTGCACTACCTCGTCACTGAGTACTCCCACGCAATTTCAGGTGCCACGTTTACATTTATGTCCACTGTCAAATTCAGGAAGGAGTCCTAGATTTGATTACCACGCTGATGAGAAAGAACAAAACCCAATAAAACAAGTCAACGAGGCCAGGTGCAATGGCTCACACCTATAATCCCAGCACCTTGGGAGGCCAAAGTGGGAGAATTGCTTGAGGTCAGGAGTTCAAGACCAACTTGGGCAACACAGTGAGATCCTGTCTCTACAAAAAATAAAAAAAAAAAAAATAGACAACTGTGGTAGCACTTTCCTGTAGTCCTAGTGTAGGAGGCAGGACTTGACTGCAGAGGCAGGGCTTGGACACCAGACCAAACTGAGGACTGGCTAAAACAGGGCTGGGACAGAAGCAGTTTTCCATCAAACACACTCACCAGCTGTCATGTCAGTTTACTACTGCCATGGCAACACCTAGGTGTTACCTACTGTTTCCGTGGTAATAACCTAATGTCCCAGTTACTACTCCTTTCCTAAAAATTTCTGTATAAACTTCCCCTTAATCTGCATGTAATTAAAAGTGAGTATAAATATGATTGCAAAACTGCCCTGGGCTGCTACTCTCTGCCCATAGAGCACCCCTGCTCTGCAGAAGCAGTCACAGAGCTGCGACACTGTTGCTTCAACAAAGCTGTTTTCTTCTAGCCCCAGCTTGCCCTTGAATTCTTTCCTGGGCAAACACAAGGACCTTTATGGGCTAAGCCCCACTGTGGGGCTCACATGTCCTGCATCAGTCCCAGCTACTCAGGAGCCTTAGGTGGGAAGATCACTTGAGCCCAGGAGTTCAAGGCTGCAGTGAGCCGTGATTATACTACTGCACTCCAGCCTGGGCAACAGAGCAAGGCCCTGTCAGTCAGTCACTCAACAGCATTTTCTCATCAAAGGATGGCCAAATGACATCATAATGATGTTGAAATCAAGGTTTTCTTATGGTTGGAAGTGCTGTAAGACCTGAGTCATCACAGTACATAAAGGCAGCATAACCCAGGTCCAAATAAATAGACCCCGGGGCAGGTATAGGTTCATACAGCCTACAATTTAGACTCAGCAAGACTTCTTCATCTCTCACAATGATGTGCTTCTATCTGATGGATCTCTGTTACACATCTGGATGTGTATTGGTTTATGATTTCTTCTTGGATTTATGATTGCATGAAAATTATAAGGCATTTTTATGGAGTTTTCACACACACATACACACGCGTGCACAAAGTTTAGTAACAGTGTACTAGAACCCACCACTTAAACGGAGGGATCTGAAATTTTTTTATTTAAATAAGGCACTACATTAGACACATGGAAAAACATGCGACCCACGTCACAGATGAGTAAGCTGAGGCTCAGAGAGATGACATGAAAAGTCAGTTTTCCAGCCAAGACTTCAGGCTCCTGAGCCAGTGCTCAATCACAAATCACAAATTATGAAATCAAATCTATTAAGTTCCATTCCTAGCTACCTGTGGATACAAATGTTGGTTTGTTTTTTAAAAGAGAAGAATTTTGTTGTTTTCCTAGTAGAATTATGCACTGAGAAATCATATCCTGATTTTAATTCATAGAACGATTTCATTTTGGGAAGAGGAAGAAACGTTACATTAGCCATAAACATATATTGTAAGAGACATCCAAATTTCAGAAATGTTAAGATAGGAAAAGGAAAAAAATCTATCATTAAATGGAGGAAGTACTACATATAAAATAGGAAAGCATGCCTGCAAGGAAACAAACTAGATTCAGTGATTCCCAAACTCTGATCTCAGGGCCCTTTCACACTCTAAAAATTGATGACCTCAAAGAGTTTTTGTTTATGGGAGGGTAGAGCTAGTGATATTTACCATTTTAGGAGTGAAAATGAGAACAACTTTAAAATATGTATTAATTCACTTTAATAATAATAAAACTCATCACATGTTAACACAACTCAATTTTATGAAAATTGTATTTTATAAAACAAAGCACATTTAGTGGAAAGAGCAGCAATGTTTAACATTTTGCTTAATAGAAGACATCTGGATTCTCATATCTGCTTCTGCATTCTCAGCTGCCATATGAAAAAGTATATAAAGGAAAAACAGAACTTCACAAATATGTAGCTGGAAGAGGGAATAATATCTTAATAGCTTTTCCAGAAAATTTTAGATTTTCTTCTGTGATACCACACCATAACTCGACCAGTGGTGGTTTCTCAAAGGTCAGCTACAATGTGAATGTGAAGTTTTCTTTCTTTGTTACATTAAAATCTATTTGTCTCACATTTTGAATTAAACTTCTACCCACGAGAAATTCCATAACATTAGTCATTTGGAAAATATTAGTTACTGAGTTATGCCAATCTTCCAAATGTTGATACATTTCTTTATTTCAGAAAATCACATGTTAATATCTCTGCCAATTTAATCAGAAATATCTTTATGTACTGGGAAGCAGTCATGCTCACAGTGGGACATAAGTTTTCCAAAACCTAATTTTACCTAGAAAGTTTGAATTTTATCTTTAGCAACAAATATTGCCCATTTTTTGCCTTACAGTGACAGGCTTGTGTCACTCATTTTTAATAAACTCTCTGCCAGACACTCAGGTCTGAATAACCAGTTTTTCTGTCCGTATTTCAAATGAAAACGCTGTTCTATGAGAAAACCTCACCATGTAAATCAAGCCTTCGCATAAAAGTATTTCTCAAGACAACCACTGAGAAGCTGGGCGTGGTGGCTCACGAATGTAACACTAGCTACTGAAGGAGGCTGAAGCAGAAGGATCACTTGAGCCCAGGAGTTCAAGGCCAAGCTGGGCAACACAGTGAGACCTTACCTCAACAAAAATAAAATAAAATTAAAATTTAAAAAGGAACCACTGAGCTTCCATATGTTGGAGAAGTGTTTTATGCCGACATCATCACACAAAATGTTAAATTGTATATTAAAGTGTCAGATTTTAAGTAATTAATTTTGTTTCTTCATCAAAAACAGTGGGTGAAAATGGCTTTTAAAAACACTGCGAGTGTGTGGGGTAAAGAATACATTTGGTGCCACCGTCTTGATTTGTGCCAAGTGATCTCTACATTTTTGCCCCTCAGGTCCTGGGCACCACTGATGTAGATGTCAACTCGGTGAACAACACAAAATCGCGTTTCATAATACTCTGAAAACAGTACTGCACTTATGGCCTTCCTGAAATGATCTTAGTGATCCCTTAGGGCCCAGAGACCACACGCTAAGAACCACTGGCCTAGACCTGTGATACTGGCACATCAGTCACCTCTCTGGGCCTCCATCCCTAATTTATAAATTCAGAGGCTGCATTGCTGGGTTTAGAAGTTCCCTTTAATACCAAAAAGGTGCGAGTACACATATGTTCATATACCCCCAACCAGTGATCATCCACCAAACCTCATCCTGAGAGAATAATAATTTATGAAAAATGTACTAGAAAAAAACATAAAAGCACTGCAAAGCAGTCTCAGCAGCCATGCTCAGGGTAACTCCCAACAGGTCAAAGTACGACAAGCAACACAGAGTTCTAGAGAATGGTGCAGTAGTAGTCACAAATGGCATGAGATCTTTTCACGAGTTTCACCTTATTTTAAGGAAAGACATTCATATAAATATGTGGCCTTATCAACAAAATGAATCATGAAACACAACTGCCTGATTCATCTAAAAGTTCACCTAAAAGGTTCCCCACCTCTAACTGTCCTGACTAATATAACATTGCATAAAGAAGGTAATTTTGCTTTGGCCTCGGATGAATAAAACATGATCTTCTCACCTATGATTTGCTACGTTTCTGGGGCCCATGGCCTATTTCAGCATTATTAATAATCTGATGTAATTTGTGTTCATTACAGTAATTAGAAATAATAGGAGCTTCTCATTTAAGGTAATTTGGTCACATTATGGCCACTCCTTATCTCAAATTTTAGCAAAACTGATGCATTTTAAAATATGATAAAACTTTCTAATCCCATAATCTTCTGATTTATTTAATATATAGATTTTCAAAGTATATCCTCTGAAATATTAAAAAGAAAATTCAAAGACAAGGATCTTCAATAATTAAGCTGCTGCATGAAGCACAGAGCGACTGGTGCGATGTCACTGGGTCCAGAATGAGGGTGGAGACTGTTTGATGTGTACACTGCTTTGAAGAGGGGATAAAACAGCAATAAACCTTCATCACAAGATCTGAAATTCTCCATGGCACTAATGCACTGTAAATATTGATGTCTCTCTCTAGGTAAGGTGCCTTTTAAATAAGTGGAAGAAATGGTGATCTAATTATGAATTAGAGCAAATACCAAAGGGCAGACATATACATTTTTAACTGTTAAATATCCCACCCTTTCTTCTCATCAACTTGCCCAATGTCTCTCTTCCTTCATTCTTCAAGTCGTTTTTCAACTATTTAACCACTTAAGGCAATGAATAAAACTCTGCCAAGAAGACAGGCATAAATCATCAAGGTATTTAATCGAATCTAAATATAATATGCAGTTACATGTGTGCTTTTAGAACTTATGATACAAACAGCAAAATTACTCTTCATGCAAAATGAAAACTGTCTCTCTCCCATCTTCAGGGCAATCATACATTTCCTAAAGAGACATCTAACCATGGGAAGAACCAAGTTATTATCACATGCTGTGGGGATACAAACCTGTCATCACGATTGCAAAACCAACCTTCAGATATGTGTTACTCCTTTTCATAAAGGTATTTATCCATACTTCATTTATTTCCTAGAATCTTTGGAAGAAATTTGTGGAAGGCAGGGCAAGAAATAAGCTTTGAAAAGCAACAAATGACTCAGAGAGAAGGATATAAAAATGAATCTTATCACCTTGTTATTAAATTTTTTTTCTATATAAGCAATAAATACAGGATACTATGGTTGGAAGATGCTTAGTGATAAACTGAAATATTACATTTTACAGATAAGTGCAATGAGCACCACAAACATAGTTTAAGGGCTAGGTCAATCACTATACTCCAAGAAGACCCAGCTGCATTGGGAGTACTTGGTAATTGACTCTGTGCAATTCAGATCTGATCACATTGCTATCCAGACAAAAATAAAACGTATCAAAAGTACAAGATGCCTATATGTTGCACTTGAAACAACAGGTGATTTAATGGTAAGTTTAAGATACATTTCTGTGGATAACAGGATGTTTTCAATGGTTGCACTGAATCCAACACACATAAGGAGGGAAAATAAAGTCAAGGGGAAAAAAACATATGCAATTTTCTTTCGAGACGGAGTTTCACTCTCGTTGCCCAGGCTGGAGTGTAATGGTGCGATCTCGGCTCACTGCAACCTCCGCCTCCCAGGTTTAAGTAATTATCCTGCCTCAGCCTTCCGAGTAGCTGGGATTACAGGCATGTGCCACCACGCCCAGCTAATTTTGTATATTTAGTAGAGACAGGTTTTCTCCATGTTGGTCAGGCTGGTCTCAAACTCCCGACCTCAGGTGATCCACCCACCTGGGCCTCCCAAAGTGCTGGGATTACAGGCGTGAATATATGCAATTTTCTAATGACATATTAATGTTTCCATCCAAAAGCCAAGCATTTTTCTGAGGCATATTAAATCTATACCATTACAATTCTCACTCTGAAACTGACAATATAACCACTCTGATCAAAAATCTTCTAAACACTCACCTGAGTACAAGAAAAAATCTGAATAAGATTGTATACATTTTATATAAAGGCTGTATATTAATGTTATATAAATGTTAATATTGTGGTTGTGACAGAACAGGAACTTTTCTCAAAATCTTATCATTGAAATGAATCTCTCTGTATCATTTCTTATACCTGCATCAGATTCTATGATTAGCTCAAATTTAATTTTTTTTTTTTTTTTTTTGAGACAGAGTCTCGCCCTGTCGCCCAGGCTGGAGTGCAGTGGCACAATCTTGGCTCACTGCAAGCTCCACCTCCCGGGTTCACGCCATTCTCCTGCCTCAGCCTCCCGAGTAGCTGGGACTACAGGCGCCTGCCACCACGCCCGGCTAATTTTTTGTATTTTTAGTAGAGACAGGGTTTCACTGTGTTAGCCAGAATGGACTCTATCTCCTGACCTCATGATCCGCCCACCTCGGCCTCCCAAAGTCCTGGGATTACTTTGGGGCGCGTGAGCCACGGCACCCAGCCTTTAAATTTTTTTTAAAGCACAAAGAGTTAAACAAAATCCCAGTTGCAAATTCTCAATGTCAAGGCCTGCCGCAATCGAGACTTAGGGTACCTTCCTAACATTATTTCCGATAATATTCTTCTTATCACCCAATGTTTAGCCCCTACAGCCACTGCCGGTGCCCTGTAGCCTGTCCACACAGACAGCTCCCTGAACATGCACCACAGTAGACAACTGCATGGCGCACCAGTGCTGCAACTTCCATTATCAGGAACCTTTGCCCTCCTCTCCACCCACTTCAGTGTGTCCTGTACTCTACAAGTCCTCCTCAAATGACAGCACCTCCTCCAACCCATCAGATCTAGTATTTGTGTCCTGGCACCAAGTGTTTTGCGGACTCAGAGAGGGGTCTTTGAGGACAGTTTAGCAGAAAGACTGTTTCTAATATATGGCAGGATTAAGGAATGACAACAAAGGGTATAGTGCCCTCTGCTCACATGAGGCAAGGGGAGCTGTGACATTCCCCAGAGGGCCACAGCTGCACAAAAGCCACAGCCAGGAAGGCTGAATAAGCCTGCCTTTTCCATCTTTCCACTTCTGTCAATGCCCTGCTGCTGCAGTCCTTGCAGGCACAAGGCAGACGGCATAGAGCCTGGACAGTCAGTGTGAGGGGCTGGCCTCTTGGCATATGGAGCAGAGCACAGATAGGTGTGGAGGATCAAAGGAAACAATCCAGCTCAGACGTACTAGTAAAATTCCTCTGCCTCTTTCTCCTACTGCACCTTGCTTCTCCTTTTTTGTCTTTTTAGAGACAAGGTCTTGCTCTGTCACCCAGGCTGGAGTGCAGTGCAAGATCACAGCTCACTGCAGCCTGGAACTCCTGGGCTTAGTGCTCCTCCAGCCTCAGCTGCACCAGTAACTGAGACTATAGGTGGACACCACTACTCCCGGTTAATTAATTTTTTATTTTTTGTAAAAACAGGATTTCACAGTGTGGCCCAGGCTGGTCACAAACTCCTGGCCTCAAAGTGAAACTCCCATCTCAGCCTCCTAAAGCCTTGAGATTACCAGCATGAACCACCTCGCCCAACCTGTTTCTACTTTTAACAGCATCGGCCAGTTATTCAACTAGAGGACAAGTATTGACTCTATTCATTTTTACAACTCATCCACTCTAGACACACACCCCAACAAAGTAGGAACAAAATGTTTTAAAGTTGGCTAAGATATATCAGTCAGGAACAAAAATACTTCCCAATTCGTTTTTTAAATAGATGTATTCCAATATTTTATTTTTATTTTAAACTTTTATTTTAGCTACAGGGGTACATCTGCAGGTTTCTTTTTCTTTTTTTTTTTTTTTTTTTCTTTTTTGAGACGGAGTCTTGCTCTGTCACCAGCCTGGAGTGCAGTGGCGCGATATCGGCTCACTGCAACCTCCGCTTCTCAGGTTCAAGCTCTTCTCCTGCCTCATCCTCCCAAGTAGCTGGGATTACAGGTGCCTGCCACCACATCTGCATAATTTTTGTAATTTTAATAGAGATGGGGTTTCACCATGTTGACCAGGCTGGTCTCAAACTCCTGACCTCAGGTGATCCACCCGCCTCAGCCTCCCAAAGTGCTGGGGTTACAGGTGTGAGCCACCACGCCCAGCCCCTGCAGGTTTCTAATACAGGTAAGTTTTGTGTCACAGGTTTGGTGTACAGAATATTTCACCAACCAAGTAATAAGCATAGTATCCAACAGTTGTTTTATTTATTTATTTATTTATTTATTTTTATCATCACCCTCCTCCCTTTCCCTCTCCCTCTCTCCACCCTCATGTAGGCCCCAGTGTGTGTTCAGGGACTCCTTTCCTTTCATCCCCAGGGTAGAACAGAGTGGTTAAGGGGCATAAGAAATGGACATCAGAGGTGAAAAGCCTTTGACTTCTCTCTTCCTGCCTCTCAGGCGAGAGTGAAGGACCTGGCCTGAGGCAATGATGTAAATGACCAGCTACTTATCAAAACAGGCATTGGCTACTGAATCCTGTGCATAAAAACGTGGTATCCCCAGGTCCTTTGCTAAGCCAGTACAGTTCAGGGGAAAAGTTAGTTGAGCCCCTGCCAGACACATCAGGGAGTGATCTGGCCACCCAGAGAGCAAATGGAAAGCAGCAGTTCACAACAATGACTTTTCCTCTTTTATATATATTTTGGTGTCCTTATTTTGCTATGGGAGAGCTACCATCCAGCTACTTCAACCAATACATATTTGATTAGCATCTAACTAGACATCATTATCCTAGTGATTTTCAAAACTAATAAATATGGGGCCAAGATGTTGAGAGTCATTTACTGTAGAAAAGTAGAAAAAAAAAATCACTCTAAAGTGAATCCCATTCTGACCATTCATTCATTTATTTGAGACAGGGTCTTGCTCTGTCTCCCAAATGGGAGTAGAGTGGTACAATCATAGCTCACTGCAGCCTTAACTCCTGGCCTCAAGCAATCCACCCGCCACAGCCTCCTATGTAGCTGGGACCACAGGTGCCCCCCACCATGCTCAGCTACAGGCACACACCACTGTGCCCTGCTAATTTTTATCTTTTTTTTTTTTTTTTTTTTGAAGCAGCATCTTACTCTGCCTCCCAGAGTGGACTGCAGTGGCACCATCATTGCTCACTGCATCCTTGAGCTCCTGAGCTCAGGGAATCCTCCTGCCTCAGCCTCCCATGTAGCTGGACCCACAGGTGCCCCCCACCATGCCCAGCTAATTTTTTTATGTTCTGTAGAGACAGGGTCTCACTTCGTTGTCTAAGCTGGTCTTGAACTCCTGGCCTCAAGTTATCCTCCCGCCTCAGCCTACCAAAGTGCTGGTACAGGCATGAGTCATCATGCCCGACCTGGCTAATGTTTCTATTTTTTAAATTAATGGGTCTCGCTATATTACCAAGGCTGGTCTCAAACTCCTGGCCTCAAGCAGTCCTGCTGTCTCGGTCTCCCAAAGCGCTGGGATTACAGGTGTGAGCCCCTGCCCCAGGCCTCTGACCATTCAAAAAGGAACAAATCCTCTAACAGATTGCTACTCCCCAGCGACTGGCTCAGGACAGGTAAAAGGCAAATGTTAGTAAATGTCCAACAGGGACAGTTAGAAGAGTACTAAATACCATGAGAAGCCCAGATGAAAATAACTAAAGGTATTTACATACCTGGTACCAGAGACTTTCACTGAGAGAATATTATGGAATTATTTTTCTAGATTCTTTTTGTACTTTCAGAAACATACCTTAATGAGCAATGAGGAGATTGAAGCTGAGACCAGGGGAATATAAGGTGGAAAGAAACTGAGAGAAGAAAAAAGAAGCAAGTTAGAGGGAGGATAGAGGGGCATGTGAACAGGTAAGAGTGAGCTATTTTCCTTAAAATTAAAAAAAAAAAATGCAAGGTGCAGTGGCTCACGCCTGTAATCCCAGCACTTTGGGAGGCCAAGGCGGGCAGATCACCTGAGGTCGGGAGTTCAAGACCATCCTGACCAACATGGAGAAACCCTGTCTCTACTAAAAATACAAAAAAAAAAAATTAGCCAGGTGTGGTGGTGCATGCCTGTAATCCCAGCTACTCAGGAGGTTGAGGCAGGAGAATAGCTTGAATCTGGGAGGCAGAGGTTTCGGTGAGCCAAGATCGCACCACTGCACCCCAGCCTGGGCAAGAAGAGCGAAACTCCATCTCAGAAAACAAACAAACAAAAATGTGTTTCTCTTGCAGATGATAAACAAAAATGAACAAAACATGAGAAAGAAAAAAGACACTTTGGGAGGCTGAGGCAGGTGGATCACTTGAGCCCAGGAGTTTGAGACCTGCCTAGGCAACATAGTGAGACCTCGTCTCTACAAAAAATACAAACATTAGCTAGGCACAGTGGCACGCATCTGTGGTCCCAGCTACTCTGGAAGATGAGGCAGGATAATTGCTTGAGCCTGGGAGGTCATGGCTGCAGTGAGCCCATTTCATGCCACTGCACTCAAGCCTGGACGACAGAGTGAGACTCTGTCACCAAAAAAAAAAAAAAAAAGAGAGAGAAAAAAAAACAGAAAAAAGGGGGGAAGCTTATGCTATTGTTATTTATAATATTGCTTTTCCTCATATATGTGCTGAGTAGGAGATGTGCTACCTTTCTATTTCCATATGGCCAACAGCCCCAGATAGAATGTAAGACCCACAAGGGGATAGAACGTATCTTTCTTCCTCACTGTCTCACCCTCAGTGCCCAAAACAGTGCCCGGAAAACTAAATACAGTTGATTCTAGTTTTGCACAATAGTTATGTTATATAAAGTAACTGTAAACACTGAATTAGCAAATACTCAACCACTGCTCCTAGGAGAAATACAAGGTTAGGTGGAGCCTCTGACCACAACCCTGTTGTTCACCATTCAATACAGAGCCTTGCCTTAGGTGTGATCTGTATAAAGACATCTTAATTAATATATATTGCTGATTAAACTCACGGCTAACAGGACTATAACTCATACCTGAACAAAGCTTACCTAATAATATATTTTCTCCGGAAGGTATATCACAGACTAACTGTGCTTAGGAATGCTAGACATCATGTTGGTATTATGCTTGGGCGCCATTTTAACAGCAAAATCACCAGCAAAAAGCACGAAAAACATGGCACCAAATAGCCCATGAAAAGGACACTTTTTTAAAATATGAAAACCAGAGCAAGAAGGCAGTTTCCCATTCTTCAGCCTCAACTGGAAACATATTAGTCAAGTGACTCAAACTGTTTGCCATCCAACACATGTTCATGAATGAGCACAAAGGTGCCCCGAGTATTAATTTAGGAGCTACAAATAAATTTTAGCAAACAGCTAAAATCACAAATACGGACTTCACAAAGCATGAGAATTTTAGGTAAATATTTGCTAAATGAACGACTCTCATAAATCTTTAAAGGAACTATACCACTCCCTCTGTCAGATTCCATTCCAGATACTGCTCTTGTGCTTATTTTCTTCATAGGCAATCTTTTGACAGGAGTGTGCTGTTTCATTGCTCCTCTCGAGTACTCAACTAACATAGTTTTTGTTGTTGTTGTTTGTTGTTGTTGTTGTTTTGCCAAGAGTGCCATAAATGTCTTTCCCTTTATCAACCCATATTTTTGAGCCCCATGTCCCTAGGATCTCATAATATACAACATAGACCTGGTCTCTGCCCTCGTGAAGTTTTCAGTGCCCTGGAGAATGTAGACATGATCCAGCACTTCAGCGTGATCCTGCTGCTTCATAAGTACACAGCACTACAGGAACATCTAAGAGAGGCACTGTCTTTAAGAGCTTTAGCAAAGACTTCAAGTGAAAAATAACTGCTAAATTTTACCTATGAACCTTTTGCATTCTCCTGCAGGCCACCTCTTGTGGAAAGCCTCTGACCACTCCTCCACAAGCTCCTTTCGTGGCTGCCAGATCGTGTCATTGTGTTTGCCATGCTGCCCTCCTAGGTTTTAGGACCTTCCTCCTCATTGGCAACCCACTCCTAGACAACCTCACCTTTCACTGTCATATCCACAGAGGCCAGGCCCTTAAAAGTATCCGAGACAAGTCTCAATCAATTTAGAAGTTTAGGCCGGGCACAGTGGCATACATCTGTAATCCCAACACTTTGGGAGGCCAAGGCAGGCAGATCACCTTAGGTCAGGAGTTCGAGACCAGTGTGACCAACATGGTGCAACCCCATCTCTACTAGAAATACAAAAATTAGCCGGGCGTGGTGGTGCCCACCTGTAACGCCAGCTACTCGGGAGGCTGAGGCACAAGAATCCCTTGAACCTGGGAGGCAGAGGCGGCAGTGAGCCAAGATCATGCCACTGCACTCCAGCCTGGGAGACAGAGCAAGACTCTGTCTCAAAAAAAAAAAAAAGTTCATTTTTGCCAAGGTTAAAGATATGCCCCCAACACAGCCTCAGGAGATCCTGAGAACAATTGCCCAAGGTGATTTGTTACAGCTTGATTTTATACATTTTAGGGGACAGAAGTTATAAGCAGACATCAATCAATACATGTAAGGTGTACACTGGTTTAGTTTGGAAAGGTAGGACAATGAAGCAAGGGATTCCGGGTCATAGATTCAGAGCTTTTTGACTGTCAATTGGTTGAAAGAGTTAAGTTATTATCTAAAGATCTGGAATAAACAGAAAGGAGTATCTGGGTTAATATAAGGGGTTGTGGAGCCCAAGGTTCTTACTATGCAGATGAAACCTCCAGGTAGCAGGCTTCAGGGAGAATAGATGGTAAATGATTTTTAATCAGACTTAAAAAGGTGTCAGACTCCTTGCGAGAGAGATTTGTGGGGCCATTTCAAAATACATCACAGAAATATATTTTGGGGTAAAATACTTTGATTTCTTTAAGGTCCAGCTACCTGTCATTTTGTTATATATTTTATTGCTACAAAGAGACTATAATGTGGCTGTTTAAACGTTTTGGGTTTTTTTTTTTTTTTTTTTTTTTGAGACAGGGTTTTACTTTGTCACCCAGGCTGGAGAGCAGTGTCACGATCGTAGATCACTGCATCCTTGAACTCCCAGGCTCACACGATCCTCCTGCCTCAGCTTACCAAGCAGCTGGGACTACAGGTGCGTGCCACGATGAGTGGCTAATTTTCTTATTTTTGTAGATACAGTGTCATGTTGCCCAGGCTGGTCTCAAAATCCTGGGCTCAAGTGATCCTCCTGCCATGACCTCCCAAAGTGTTGGGATTAGAGGCACGAGCCAGCCTGTTTTAATGTTAATGCTGGTCAGTAATACCTGAATTCCAAAGGGAGGAGGGTATAAAAAGGTACATCCAATCCCCCTTTCCCATCATGGCCCGAACTAGTTTTCAGGTTTACATTGGTATGTTCTTGGCCAAGAATGGGTCCATTCAGTTGGTTAGGGGTCTTAAAATTTTATTTTTTGTTTACAGTCTGTTTTGGTTTTGTTTCAGGGCAATGGTGGTGGTGCCTGGCCAGATGAATGGGGCAGAAGGAAGACAATACATGAGCAGAGAAAACTGCATGTGCAAAAGCCAGACACTGAAATTCAAGAGAATTAAAGAAACTACAAGAAATTCAGTATGGCTGTACCAGATGTGATTGGAAACAATGTGATTAGAAGGTGACAAAGCAAACAAGGTAGCTTTGGATGAGGCAACTCAGTGTCTTCTAAGTCAGAGACTGTCAAAGGTTGATGTGCACAGAAACCACCTAGGAATCTTGTTAAAGAGCTTCAGTAGGTCTGGAATGGGTAGGATCTGAAATTCTGCATTTCATTGTCCTGGTGACATCAGTGCTGCTGGTCTGAGTGACCATTACCCTTTTGTGACTCTGAGCAGCAGGGCTATGTCATACTATATACATATAATTGCTATATATAAAATAAATATATTATATATGTACACATATATAATTCAGCTGTGATTTTTAAAAATGTGAACTTCATACTGGCAGTCACGGATCCTCATCATTTCTCAGCTTGATTTATTCTCTCTCTCCAGGCCTGGCCGTCTCCAAGTCATCCTCTACAAAGCACTCATGATACCTTTTGTAAACCACAAATCAGACGTCATAACTCAGAATTTTCGGTCTGCTTGGGGCACAAGACCATTTTTGTATCCTCTGTGAGCTGAACAATGTCTCTGCACCCTTACACTCAACTGGAACACTCTGCAACTACAGAAGGCCAAAGAGGCTTCCAAGTTCTCTCTTCTGGGCCTCTTCTCACTCACTCTCTTTTCTAAGGTCGGCCGGGCAGGCATTGCCATCTCTGAGAAGTTTAAAAGGTTTCTACAGACTAAGTGAAATCATGCTTGACTTCACTTAGATCTGGTACTTTCTCATCTGTCTGCCTCATTAAATTTTGTGATTCTACCCCCAGTTTTTAATCCAGCAAAGGACACCGAGAAAATGTTTGTTAAAGTGTTACTGTATAAATAAATTAAGAAAATGAATGACTTCCATCTTGAGATACAGGACTTCCATCTATCTCTGTCCTTTTCACATTGATTGTCTCAAGTATTGAAAGGGCAATCTCTGTAGCAAAGAAACAATTACAGATGTTGGAAGGCCCCAGAGAACAAAAAAAAGGGTTTTCTACCAGGAAAAGGACAAAGAATTGCCGCTTCAAATATTGGTGATAAACTCCCTGGCTAGAAATCCCATCCAGGTTTTACTTTTTTTTTTTTTTAACTATTAATTTTGCACTATGGTCCTTCATGCAGTGCTGACTCCCTTATGAGAATATCTGAGTGGGAGTCAATCTAAATTAATTCTTCACATATAATTTTATAGGTATATCTGCACCAAATTCCTCATATCACTTTCATTTTACCAATTTAGTTCAACAATCATGTAATTAAATTTTAAAATTATAACTTCATCTAACAAGTAATTTGTCTTTCAAAAATTGACATTGACTATTGATTGCATTGCAGATATTCTCTAAATGCTCAATGCCCTCTCCTTTGACATTTGTCTTCTATTATTTTATTAAGGATTCAAATACAGCAGTAACTGTCAAGCATTATTCCCCCATTTCTTTATTATTATAACCTTTACTCCACAATACTATATAAAAGCGTAATCTTTTTCTCTTACCTGGGGACTAGCAATTTGCCAATTTCATTTGCCAGTTTTCTGTCACCTCAGGATGTGCGTTTGAAGCTCCTGCACTTTACAAGATTTCATAATTATCCCAGTGTATGTTGACCATCAACAATTACTTCACAGCAGCAAGCCTCTCTACAACTATGAGGTGTTAAACTTCCACTGTAATCTCCATACTTCATTTTTATCAGAGCTGGGCTTTTCATCTTGCACATGAATTTTTTATTTTTATTTTATTTATTTATTTTTATTTATTTATTTTTTGAGACAGAGTCTCGCTCTGTCACCCAGGCTGGAGTGCAGTGATGCAATCTGGGCTCACTGCAGCCTCAACCTCCCAGGCAGAAGGGATCCTCCCACCCCTGCCTCCTGAGCAGCTGGGACCACAGGCACTGGGATGCAAATGAATCTTCATGGTACTAAAACCCTTTTTTTTTTGCCCCCGACATCTAAATCTCTTTTACTGGGGGAAGTGGGCCTCTCACGGACACGCAGAGTGCCCTCTGTGCACGGCTTGCTCGTGAGCACTGCTTCCTGTGTCCTGGGGCTTCCTAACCATGGGATGTGCAGGGCCTCAAGGCCGTCGTCCGCCTGGAAGCCCAGCACCGCTGTGGCCGGGGCTGTGGCCATGCACTTTGGCTGGTGAAGCTACACTCTCCCAGCGTCTTGCCAACATCCAAGAGCTGGTCATCCCTGTACAGCTGCTGAGGATGCCCTCGACGATGCACTTCAACTCAAACACCATGCTAGACACCCTGGCATCTGTGAAGATGGTGATGCAGTGGCACTTGATCATGAGGAACACGCTATCTCTGTGGCCACCTCTCCCTTCAGCACACATGCACGGCCATGTTCTGCCGGGTTCCCAGCAGCCAGCGCCCACAGCCCAGCATGCCATGCGCATGGCCCCGCCGCTTGCCCGCCCCACTAAAAGCTTTCTAAGGAGGTTTACAAAGTCTTTCTTCCAAAGACAAATATCTACAGCTGGGCGCAATGGTTCAAGCCTGTAATCTCAGAACTTTGGGAGGCTGAAGTGGGAAGATCATGTGATGTCAGGAGTTCTAGACCAGCCTGGCCAAGATGGTGAAACCCTGTCTCTACTAAAAATACAAAAATTAGTTGGGCGTGGTGGTGCATGCCTGTAGTCTCAGCTACTAGGGAGGCTGAGGCAGGAGGCAGAAGAATCGTTTGAACTGGAAGGCCAATAATCCCTCCAGGATGTTCCATTCTGGTGAGGACAGGACAAAGCATACACATGTGAACACAGACTACGCCACGAAGAGATCAGTGCTAGGAACAAAAATGAAGTAAAGGATCGGATGCTGCCGGAAGTTGAAAAGCTTTATTTTCTACAGGGGGAGTATGACGGAAGCACTTTAAAAACATTCAAATGGCTCATTATCCACTTCTCTGTCTTAACTGTTCCAGTTTCAAATTAATTCCTTACCACACAACCCTGTACACACTGGCGATTAATAAAGCCATTTGGCACCAACTGGTTGCTCCAAGGCAGCAATAAGACTTCATGGCTCTGAAACATATGGCTGCGTGTCTGTTTATATTACCTTCAAAGTGCAGAGATCTTTCATAGCTAATCTAAACCATTCATTCTCCTCCTTAAGGAAAGAGTAATGTAAAAGTAAACATGCCTTGATCATTTATAATGAGCCAATTAAGTCTGTAATCACTAACATTTGTTGAGCATTCACTATGGGTTATGTATATGCTAAGAACCTTAATGTCATGACTGATCAAATCCTCAGAATAAGGCTATAAAATAGGTTCTATTATTATTCCCATTTTATAGGTATTCCTATTTTACAGGTATGAAGACTTGGTGTTACAGAGATAAGATATCCTGGCAAAAGTTAATCTAACAATAATTAGTGGAGATAAAAATCCAAGCCTCAGTCGTCAAGCCACAGAAAACATGCTCCTATCCAGTATGCATGAAATCCAGGAACACCAAGAACTGAAAGAAAGACTCTCTGGTTTATTTGCACCTTTCTCACCTACATCTACCATCACTGCCATCACACGGTAGGAGTGCAGTAAATGCACATTAGCTGAACTCAACCACACTGCAAGTCAGAGCTGGAAGAAAAGACACTATTCATTAGACAATGACTCATCTCATGCTTGGATCTTGTAATCATTCTTCACAGGGAAAAAGAAAGACCATGAAAAACATTTTAAGAATGAAATAAGTTCCCTTTAGCTAAGACGAGCAAACAGAAAATTCATCACAATTTATTTTATTATTAGGGGATTTGTGAGAAGAAATGGGGAGTGGTACATTGAAGGAAGGGCACATTACAGAGAGAGAGAGAGAGAGACAGAGGGAGAGGGTGTGTGTACACAAAACAAAATGCTCGTGCTTCATATCTATGTCAGAACATTTACTGGGATTAACAGAAATGCGTTGGGTGCCCTTAATCTATACATTCACAAAGTATGTCACTAACATCTTTGCCTCCCGAAAGTGCTGGGATTACAGGCATGAGCCACCACGCCCAGCCTGTCAATATAGTCTTGTGTATTTTCACCAAAAGAGTCTTCCCAGTCAAATGTTTAGTCAATTTAAGATAATATACTTAGCACTCAGTACAGACTAACTCTTTCTTACATATACTGTTCCTATACTAACCTCAACAAAAAGTGGAAAATCCAGGGCAGTACTTAAGACCTCCCCATCCAAACGTCACACTTGTTTGTATACTCTTTGAGTTATATATGTGGTTCTAACACTTCACCAGTCATTAAAATGACGTGGGAATACTCTGTAAAATGCTGGTTCCAGGATCCCCATCAGAAATACTGAAAATTTGGTCTAGGAAGAAGCCCAGGAATTACTTTCACAAGCTCTTCAGGTCATTGTAACATGCAGCCAAGACAGCTCTAGAAGAGAATTATTGCTCTAGAAGAGACAGCATTGCATATCAGCCCTAAGGGACCTCATGAAAAATACAGATTCTGAATGAATAGGTCTGGATGGGGCCTGAGACTCTGCATTTCCATCAAGTCCCCAGACGATGGAGTCACTAGCCACACCGGCTATTTAGATTCAGCTCCTCAGTTACCCTTGCCTCATTTCAAGGGCTCTACAGCTTCATGGAGTCAGTGGTCACAGGATCATCCAAAAACACATCTCTCTGAAATTTTTTTAGTATTAAGCAATGTAATTAATTTTTTAGTATTAAGCAAGGACACTGAATTTAGCTAAAGTATAATTAAATAACCATTAACTATATACTCTCAGTTCTATCAACTCAGAAAAGATCTGAGGGATTTCCACTACTTCTTTCTAACTTTAATTTGAAAAAGTTATATAGAAATAATTGTTTTTCTACTTATCAAACATAGGGCAAAATAATCTGCATTTTCTAACACCTCTTTGAATTTTTTCATGAAATATGTTTATGTTTGTCCCTCTTGGGAATGATAACACATGCACATGACTCCCCAAGGAAGTAAACAAATTTACAGAAGCATTTTTTTATTAAAGTGCTATATTTAGAACTAGCTCACTGTGACAATTCAAATCCTATTGCAAATTTGTATACAAAACAGGAAGTTTCAATAATAATCAAGGAAAACAATAATTCTCTATTTAGCATTTTAAGAAAACCAAACAAATGCTTGGCTGCTTTTTAATTGAGGAGATAAAGCACTTTAATATTGATAAAATGTTTCTGTTATTTAAGTAGCACTTTTACAACTCTAAAGCCAAGAACTTTATCCATAACTTTGCCAGTCTGTCAGACAACCAGGCAAACAGAATTCAACCCAGTCGTGGTTTCCTAGGCAACAAGCACAGATAGAACCACTGGGGGGAAAAAAAATGAAAACAAGAAAAAGCATCGCAGCATTTCCAGTAGGCTTAAGAAATGCATTTTAATTGTCAAAATGTCACAGACAACAATATTGAAAATCATTTCCTTGGAAATGATTCAAAGCAGAATGCCATTTTCATTACAGCAAACGAGGTGTGGAAAAAGAGAAAAATTAGATTCCCTTCCTTTGCTCTGAATTAAGTAGGGATGGTGATCAATCTTATTTGATTTTACAAAATGTATCTACATTAGTACGGATTTCTAATATGCCTCGTTAGTTTTCTCTGCAAACATTACCATACATTGAATCAACATAAAAAGAAGAGTCATCCAGGATGACGGGCTAGCACAGGACGAAGCATGTGGCTGAAGATCATCTGCTGCAAAGACAGGCTCGCACCTGCTCAGGTCTTAATTCACAGGGTAAACCACACACTTCAAAACACCGATTCAAACAGAACAAGGCTGTCCACATTCACGCATGGCTCTAGTTTCCTCATCTATAACAAAAAGGGCTTACCTTCTATCTTAAAAACTTCTGTCCCTAACAGCTTTTGATTTTTGGAAATAAAATATAGAAGGGCTGTTCTGTCTAGAAAGATTGCTTACAAAATAAATACTATATTCTAAAGCATTTTAAAACTTTTTCTTTATAGGACCTAAATATTGACAGTTAACCTTTAGAAAATAATATTTGAAATGTCCTACCACATGGCTATTAAAATGTCTAAATTTTACACCAGCTTTTGTAACCCTGATGGCATTTACTCTTATATCCTGATCAGAAACATTTACTTGGATTAACAGAAATGTGTTGGGTACCCTTAATCTACACTTTCACACGATATGTCACTATAATCTTGTGAAATCATCTGTATTTTCTTCCAAAGAATCTTTTCAGTCAAACACTTAGTCAATTTAGAAACTTAGGTCGAATCGATTAAGTAATTCAGTCAAAACTACCAATATAGTAGCTGCAGGCAAATATCGCTAAAGCGTTTTTCTGATAATTCACCTCTCAATGATTGGAAAATGAGGGAATGAATAGCAAAATGGGAATTCCAAGAACGAAAGTGTTTACCATTTTTTCTGTCTACCTTGTATATCCACAAAGCAAGATTAATGTATTATAATTCATTTTTCTGAGCCAACCACCTGCCACTGAACTTCATTAGATCAATGTTAATGCCTTAGTCAATCAGTTGCACTACTGGAGTGGTGTTGAGTATCTGGCTGCATTTGTGCATATTTCCCTCTGTGATACATACTTCTCCTCATATAAAAGCTAGTACAATGCAAGACATGCAAGTTATAAAAGAATAAGTTGATAATGCAAAGCAAAGTAAATGCCCAAAAATGGAAGCACATGCATACATTACCTTATTCCAATGTCTTCAATCAATTCAAAAAAATGTGACCTGTCTGCGTGTGGCACAGGGGATCTCTACTCCTGGCTCCTACCATTGCATGAGAGAGAATTATTAAATTTTCAGGAATTTCTGAGAGTTGATGGTTAAATAAAATTATTAAAAATTATAATACAGGCCAGGCATGGTGGCTCATGCCTGTAATCTCAGCATTTTGGGAGGCCACGGCAGGCGGATCACCTGAGGTCAGGAGTTCCAGACCAGCCTGGCTAACATGGTAAAACCCCATCTCTATTAAAAATACAAAAATTAGCTGGCTGTGGTGACAGGCACCTGTAATTCCAGCTACTCGGGAGGCTGAAGCAGTAGAATCACTTGAACCTGGGAGGCGGAGACTGCAGTGATCCAAGATAGTGCCATTGCACTCTAACCTGGGCGACAAAAGCGAAACTCTGTCTCAAAAAAAAAAGAAAAAAAAGAAAAGAAAATTATAGTACATAAACTTCCAACTAAACTATATTAAAACAAAGATAATACTCAAAAATCTTCACGTTCGAATTATTTTACTATATTTTATTAGTATCTACACACATGATGCACCTTCTCCATCTATTATCATGGAAATACCATATTACAGTTTGCTACCATGCATCTCATCCCAACTCAACATTCAGTGACATCAATTTGGTAGCCTGAATCTGGCCATAATACTCATATTTACACCATGGAAATGGGAAAATGTGACAAAGCCAGGTTTCTGCGGTTTTCAGAGAGCCGGCTATTAAACATTTCCCAACACAGCAGTGGATCTAGAGAACCCACACAAATTCCCTACTCTCCCGTAGTCACCAAAAATACACAGCACTACAGGATTATGTAGCAACTCTATGGAATCCGGAAACACCTACTGAAGAAACTGTTACTTGACCAGATGCCTATGGCATAAGTAAGGCTAGACAGGAGAGCACCAAAGAGAAGTTTTACCAGACAAAGGGAAAAGAGAGTGCCTAGAGTTAAGCAGGAAGAAGACTCATCCAAGAAATTCAGAGGCCCAGCGTGCTAGTCATGAGGTAGAAGAGACAAGGCTGCAAAGACACAAAACAATTCTTATACACTTGAACAAAACATACCAGTATTCTTAACCGTACTGGGAAGCTGCTGAAGGTTTTTAAGCATGGAGGTAGAAGGAAGAGAGATGTGAATTACTAAACGATCACTTGACTAAACTGGAGAATGGATCAAAAGACTGCCCAAGAAAAGATGCAGAAAAAGTGACCAGAAAGCAGGTCCAGTGCCTCCAAACTTTCTTGATAACATAGCCCTGTTAGGAAAATCTTTCTGAGCATGCAGCTGTATAGGACTTTTATTTAATGATCATTTAAATGCTCAATTCCACTAATACAAACATTATTAAACATATACAAGGAATAGGAAATTTTACAATGTGAGATAATAAAATACAGATATGTTAAGTCCTGATATTTTTTTAATAATTGTTGTTCCCCTAATCCCCATGTTGATCAAAGGTCCCCATTTGTTTTCCATGCCTCAATGGTTCTGCATCACACTTCACAGATCACTGATGAAGCCAGCTTTGGGAGATGAAATGTAGGATGCACTGGTAACAGGATTGATAAGGTCTGCAAAGCTGGAGCCAATTCCACTGTCAGGGAAGACCAAGCTCATGCTCAGACATTCCACACTAGGAAAAACCTCTTCAAAACTTAGCACCATGACTGTGACCAATTTCCAGCCCCCCAACCCAATTTGCCTACTGAAGACAACACAATGGTTGAGCCCAATTTCCTGGCACTCAATTTCGCAGGGGGCAAAAGAAAATGTTAAACTCATTGAGATACCATTGCTTCCTAACTATCTGTACCCATAAACAAAAAAAGCAAAAAAAAAACAAACAAAAACCCACAACTCAACACAAGCACAGTGGTCACTGTGTTCTGGCATCCTACTGCAGACAAGCAGATCTGCCCATCATTGCTTCTGACACCTGCCAAGTAAGACCTCATCCAACACACAGTCACAGTGCCCACAGAAACGTCAGGCTACAGTTCTGTAAGAAGTTCATCAGAGTCCAAATAAAGGAAAATCTGAATTGGCAAGGAGAACCCACATTTATTGGTACCCTTGGAAAGATTAATCACTCGGATAATCAAGGGTAGACTCACTACATTTTCAGACATAGCTGTGAAAACTGAATTTAGAGCCAGCGTGCTCCTGATGTTAACTTACTTTAAGCATTTGCAAAATAAAAGCAATAATTCCAAATAGTGGTCTCTGAATACCCTTTCCCATTAATAGGGGCAAGGCTACTTTGAGAAATGACTGATTCCAGGTATGGGGCAGAAAATATATTAGAAGAGCATGAAACACACTGTCACAGCAGAAAGTGAGGATGCTGCTACCAACAGCTCTCAGGAGTCAGCTTAGAGGGGTCTGGTTATTCAAATGTGGGGCAACTGAAACATCAGTAAGAAGAATAATGCAACCGGCTGCAGTAATAACTATGTTGATGTTTGTGAGTTCTTAATGATATCTTTTAAAAAGAAAAAAAAAAAAAACAGTAAACATGAACCGTGAGGATGTGGCCCCAGAAAACCAACTTATTTTTTCTGAAACCAATAAAGGAAGAGGCTAGCCATGGTGGCTCATGCCTGTAATACCAGCACTTTGGGAAGCTAAGGTGGGTGGATCACTTGAGCTCAGGAGTTTGAGACCAGCCTGGGCAATATGGCAAAACCCTGTCTCTGCAAAAATACAAATATTAGCTGGGCATGGTGGTGTGCGCCTGTAGTCCCAGCTACTTGGGAGGTTAAGATGGGAGGATGCTTGAGCCCAGGAGGTCTTGGCAGCGAGCCAAGATTGCATCACTGCACTGGGTGTCCAGCCTAGGTGACAGAGTAAAACCATGTCTCAAAAGGGAAGAAGAAGAAAAAAAAAAAAGAAACAAAAACAAAACTGATAAAGAAACAGATGAAATTAAGCATTTGGCCTACACTTTCCATATGAACTGTATACCTCAGAGTAACTGGCAAGAATAGCTGAGAAGGAAAAGTTTCTGTTTATAGAAATATTCCCCTACTAAATAAAGGAATTACAGTAATAACAGGTAGACAGATAAAAGATCCAGGTAATAATTACCAGGGGCTGCTCACAAAATGATGAACAACCACACTGTCCCCATCTGCTGATGGAACCATACAACAATGCCTGGAGATAATATTATTACAAATTGAAATCGGAGTTATATTAAGACTCTACATCCACCTATCAGTTTATAAGAAACACCGAGGTTATAGAACATGGTAGATACCACAGGGATGGATTCAGCGAAGTCAAGACAGGAGGAAGCTGCAGGAGAAAGCAAGCCCAATTTCAACGAAGAAACTGAAACACATGCACAGGGGTCAGGCAGGAGGAACAACCTATAGACTAAAAGAATCCGAAGAGATATATCAATCAAATGTAAGGTGTGGATTTCGTGTGGATTCTAAACCAGCCAAATATAAAGCAACATTTACAAAACATTCAGATATTTTAATAACACTATTACATATAGCTTAAGTATTTTTGTTATTAAACAGTACTATTTTTAACGTTTAAAAATAGTATACTATTTTTAAAATGTATACTAAAATGTTTTCAGAAGAAGTGACATGAGGTCTGAAATATGTTTCAAAATAATCCTGTTTGGATGAGTTCGTAGGAGTATAGATGCAGCAAGACTAGCCATAAATTAATAATTGTTAGAGCTGATAGTTGAGCTGTATGTTTAAAATTTTCTGTAATAAAAAATGAAATAATGTGATCCAGCAATGCAGAAGACTAGTGAAAAATATCCAATGTAGTAACACTAAATACCACTGGTCTTCCTATCTGTTGGTTCCACATTCATGGATTCAAACTGAATCCACGGACTGAATCTCAACAGATTGAAAATACTTGAAAAAGAAAATAAAAATAACAAATAATGCAAAAATTAAAAATAATGCAAATAAAAACAATATAGTATAACAACTATTTATATAGCGTTTACATTGTGTTAGGCCTTATAAGTAATCTAGAGATTATTTAAAGTGTACAAGAGGATGTGTGCAGGTTATATGCAAACTATTACACAATTTTAAATAAGAAACTGAGCATCTTCAGATTTTGGTATCTGCAGGAGTTCCTGGAACCAACCCCCAAGCGATACTGAAGGATGACAGTGAGAGCTTTTCCCCACAATTAAGGTTATATTTTTTTAAAGAAAAGCTGCCTGAAGTCACACGTTCACCATAATAATTTCTACAATATTTTCTGCACTACAGTGTAATAAATCTCTTTGGAACAGGTTGTGCTGACTTTATACAACATTCATTGAGAAGAGGTATGGTTTTACTGAAAAGAATTGCTAAATCAAGCCTCCTAAAATGCTGTTCCTCACAAGTTAAATGAGCTAGGAAGCAACATGAAATTTAACAAGATGATCAGCGGGTCAAGATGTGGCCTCAACTCAATTTACTTAGATGTGCTTTGACTATGAAAAGAAGTAACAAATACTATTGCAGTGTGATTTTTTCCATCTTTAAAAAAGATGAAACACAATTAATTATAATAAAGTTACACATGTAAAACAGTTGCATTTTACCCACACATACTTAGATCTTGGAAAATAATTCAAGGGGCACCGAAGTAATATACAAAAACCGTGACAAAGAAATGTAAAGAAGTGCTTTCCCCCCTCTCCTACCTCCTCAAAGAACTTCTTATATTATTTTGATTTCCATAAGATATATTACTATAAGATGTTCAAAAAGATTATATTTACCAATAAGATTGTAGGTAAGTAGGCAGAAAAAAAACAAAAATTTCAAATACGAGTAGCATAGAATTAAGCTTGAAACCCATAGGAACTGACAGCAAATTATAAGAAGCAGTCAGATGTAGAAAGAGACACTTCAGTATTTCTCAGCTTCATTTGATTAATAATTCTTTTAAAAGTCTGAGGGAGATGCATAAGTGTGGTATGTAGGTATTCATTTCAAAGACAGTGTTTAGGAAAATAAATCTAGAAAATAATCCACGGAATATAACATTTCATTTATTTAAGACATATTAGTCACTGTCCCATGAGTTTTATACACATCATTCTCATTTCATACATGCCATTTATGTCACGCTTTATTCCTGCTATGAATACTTGAAGTAAAAAGGCCACTATCCCCTGGGCACAGTGTTGCTCACACCTGTAATTTCAGCACTTTGGGAGGCCAAGGCAGGAGGATTGCATGAGGCCAGGAGTTCGACACCAGCCTGGCCAACACGGCAAAACCCTGTCTCTACTAAAAATACAAAAATTAGCCAAGTGTGGTGGTGCACACCTGTAATCCCAGCTACCTGAGAAGCTGAGACACAATAATCTCTTGAACCCAGGAGGCGGAGGTTACAGTAAGCTAAGATTGCACCACTGCACTCCAGCCTGAGCAAAAGAGCAAGACTCTGCCTCAAAAAGAAATAAAAAATAAACAAAAATTAAAAAGCCTACATTAATACTCAATTTCCAGCCAATAAATAAGGATAATCACTTACGTGTGAACATAGAAAAATAAAGGTAATGAATCACTGCAACACATACACACACTCCTACCTTTTTTAGACACTTAGAATAGCACTGAAGTAATAGCCCTGACTCTTGCATAAGAAAGTATAACACACATATCACCATTTTCATTACCAATAGATGGTGAAACATCATTTACTGTAGATGAGTCCAGAGGAAGACATACAGCAGCCAAGTTCCTGAGAATAAAAGTATGCCCCCAATGGTTACTCAATTTGTTTAGCTCAAGATTTTTTTCTCTAAGTACATGTTCTTTTTTTTTTAAGTTGATAAGGAATAATATAACTACAAAATTATAGCCAAATCATCCTCTTAAGCAATAAAGCTTTGTTCTTAGATTTTAACAAAATGCAGCAGTCTAGAATACTTTGACAATAAAAAGAGTATGTGAAGATGGATGATAAATTAAAAACCAAATAGTTATTGTTTCAGATGTGCTTTCAGTAGCTATGTTTTCTAATCAAGGGTATCTCCATTTTCTACGATGATAGACTATTGCTCTGGACACTCAGCAAGCATATACCAGGTGAGGATATAGACACAAAAAGTTATTTGCGAGGTTTCCATATAAAATTACAACCTTGGAGAATGTATACAAATTGAAACAGATTTTTTAAATTGCATCCAGCGGAAAATAGTGTGAAATATTTCCTCAGTGTAAAAAAAAAAAAATCCCATTAAAGGAATCTGCTAAGATATGAAGTACACATTTAAACATGGATCTGTTGAAATTTTATATTTATAACATATGAATAGTCTTTTATCATGCTGCATTATCTAGAACCTGAAATGAATTAAGCATACTCTATTTCTCTAAGCCAACTCTGCCCAAGACCATGCGGCCCTTCCTTTTGATGTCACTGCTAGTTTGACAGGGCTGAGAAGAAAGGAGAGTCCAGCCATCTCTCAGTGTCTGTGGGAGATTGGTCCCAGATGCCTGAGAATGCTCCAGTCCTGGATATGACATAGCATAGTATTTGCATATAACCTACACACACCATCCAGGACACATTAAATCATCTCTACGTTATTTATAATACCTAATACAATGTAACTGCTATGTAAATAGTTGTTATACTGTATCATTTAGGGAACATCCACAAGAAAAAAAGTCTGTACATGTTCAGTACAGATGCAATTTTTTTCAAACATTTTCAATCCATGTTGGCTGAAGCCATGGATGTAGAACACACAGGCACAGAGGGCTGACTACATACTTGCTGAATGCAAAGCATCAAACCCGTGCTACACACACACAGGGATGATGAAGATGTGATTCTGACTTTATAAAACCTTATGTGCTACAGAGGTCTGGAAGAAGCTACAAAATAAAGCAGAATGTAGGACACACATAAAACTAGAAAAGGGTGCTATGCTTAAGAAAATTTTAATTATCTAAAAGATTAGTAAATGCCCAAGAATGCACTTTTTCAAAATCGAAAGAAGAAAGTAAGTTGTAAAACAAAAATGGCCTTTAGGTCAATGTGCTCATGAAGACTCATTAGAACCAATCTTCCACCATTTTTAAAGTTTCTGTCCAAAACAGAATTATTAAAATTGTCTAAAATAGGCCAGGCACGGTGGCTCACACCTGTAATCCCAGCACTTTGGGAGGTCAAGGCAGGCAGATCACCTGGGGTCAGGAGTTTGAGACCAGCCTGGCCAACATGGTGAAACCTCATCTCTACAAAAATACAAAAATTAGCTGGGTGTGGTGGCTCATGCCTGTAATCCTAGCTTACTCAGGAGGCTGAGGTGGGAGAACAGCTTGAACCCAGGGCATGGAGGCTGCAGTGAGCCAAGATCACACCACTGCACTCCAGTCTGTTATGTTCCAATAACAAAAGTTACATAAAATAACATAAATTATAATAACATAAAATGAATACAGTAACGTAACTTGTGTAACAATAATTTAATGCCTAAAAGTAAAATAAGTCATACAGAAGGAAAGAGGAGAGCTTGAACAAGAGAGAGTACCAGTGAAAGAATGAAACTTCCTAACATGCACAATATTCACAACCTGTACATAATTTTTCTCATCAAAATTTCCCATCTACAGCACTAAAAAATTACTATATTACTTTTAATTGTGCAAAAGAGTTAAAAATAACTAATTTGTTACCACAGATTTTTGTTTTTTATCAAGCAACCACAATTATATAATGGCTAGAGTTTTATTTGTACAAATATTGCCCCATATGGCTCACCTAAATAAAAAATGGTCTCAAAGAAATACTCACTGATATGGCTTGGATACTTGCCCCCTGCCCAAATTTCATGTTGAACTGTAATCCCCAATGCTGGAGGTGGGGCCTGGTGGGAGGTGTCTGAATCCTGGGGACGATTCCTTCATGGTTTGGTGCTGTCTTCATGACAATGAGTTCTCAGGATATCTGATCATTTAAAAGTGTGTGTGTGGCACCCCCCTCTGCCCGACTTGCTCCTGCTTTCGTCATGTGACGTGCCTCCTCCCCCTTCAACTTTCACCATGATTATAAGCTTCCAGAGGCTTCCCTAGATGCCAAGCAGATGCCAATGGCATGCTTCCTAGAAAGCCTGCAGAACAGTGAGCCAATGAAAGTTACCCCAGTCCCAGGTATTTCTTTATAGCAATGTAAGAATGGGTGAATACACTCACTAGATCATTACTGTTCATTACTTTCCTTCCCAAAATACTGAAATCAAAATGATCAGCCCATTAATATCACTAGGTCAGATGCTCATTTCATATTATCATGGAAGACGATGTATTTGTAAAGTGCGTTATTTTCACACTACCGTAAATATTTAAATGCATGTAAAATGTGGTAGGCAAAATAATGCCCTCCCACCCTCCTCCCCGCCAAAAAAAAAAAGATGTCTACATCTTAATCCCTAGAACCTGCCATGTTACCTTACATCATACATGTGATTAAGGTAAAGACCTTGGCATCAGGACATTACCCTAGTGGTATGGAATGAATGTTGTGTCTACCAAAACTCAAGAGTGGAAATCCTAATCCCCAAGGTGATGGTATAGGATGTGGGGCCTTGTGGGAAGCTGTGTCCTCATGACTTGGATTAGTGCCCTTATTAAAATGACCCAATAGAGCTTGTTTGCTCCTCCCACCATGTAAAGACATATTGAGAAGTAAAGATCTATGAGAAGGCAAGCCTTCACTAGACACCAAAACTGCTGGCACCTTGATCTTGCACTCGCAGCCTGTAGGACATGAGAAATGAGGTTTGGTTGTTTATCAGCCACCCAGTCTAAGGTATTCTGTTGAAGCAGCCTGAATGGACTTAGACAGTGGGCTCATTTGGATGATCCTGAGTCTCACTCAATTCAAGACTATGTAGTCACATGAGTCTTAAACGTGGAAGAGAAGGTCAGAACGGAAGAGTCAGAGAGAGATGTAACCATAGAAGAAGGGTCCACAAGGTACAAGGTTGATAATGCTAGAGATGGAGGAAGGGCCATACACGAAGGAAGGCAAGTGGACTCCAGAATCTGGAGAAGGCAAGAAAACAGATTCTCACCTAGAGCCTCCCGCAGGAAGGCAGCACTGCCAACCCTGGATTTCAGCCCAGTGAGATCCACACCAGACTCTGACATGCAGGACTGTAATAAACTCTTAAGCCCTAACATGATGATGATTTGTTATAGCAAGAATAGACTAGTACTAATTGTGTGTGTAGCGATATATAGACACACACACACAGACACTCAGAACTACATATACCCTGCTTTCCAAAATTGGAAAAAATAAACTATACATTAGACTTGGCTAGGTGTGGTGGTGACTACCTATAGTCCCAGCTACTGGGGAGGCTCAGAGAGAGGATTACTTGAGTATGGGCAACATAGCAGGATCCCATCTCAAAAAAAACAAAAACAAAAAACAACAACTTTGATTAAACTAATTTCCCACTTTTGAAGAAAAGAGAAGGACAGATCTTAGACAAGGGGGAGAAGTGAGGAAGGCAGAGCTGGTGACTTCTTTTCTGGCAGAAGCACAGACACAGGCCCATGCATATCTCTGCCCAGCTGGCTTTCCTCCCTCTCCTCATAAGGGATCCAACTGAACCATGGATCACAGACCCATACTCAGAATTAAATGCAGTTTTATGCCTCAGTGTCCTTGTTTCTGCCTCCCATTCCCAACTCCCTTATTCTGGTTATTAAAAAAAATTGGCTATTATCAAATATTAGTAGATACTCATGTACTACTTAGACAAACTGATCACCAGCTGGTTTTCCTTGTTCTAAGCCACAAATCATTAGGCTATAACATCTCTGCCAAGCAATACAATATTCTTTTCCAATTCATTAACACAAATTCTGTATTTAAAATAAATACTTCTCAAGCTGTTTTAAATAACAAATTAACGAATGAGTCGGCCATGGCTCAAAATGACATTTTAATTAAATGTGATGATAGGTTGAGTACCCTAGCAGTTCACTAAAATGCCCTTTGCTTACACTTTTTCCATATTATGGTTGGGCAGAGGCATCCCTAACTGATCTAACTGTATTTTCTCATCTTAAACATGGGATCTATCTTTAAAAGATAATTTATTCTTAAATTACATGCTATTCCTATAATCCTTCCATATATAACCTCACTAAATATCAGCTCTGTGTGTGCCTACGTATATATGTATTTGTATATACAGACATTACATACTTTTTAAAAAAATTACTACCAAAGTACTACTAAAAAGACAAGAAAAAGAGGCTTTGTGTGATATGGTAGAAACACACCGCAGGATAGACAACAGGCTGCTGTGATGGCTATTACATATTCATCCTTTCCTCTGTGAGGAGGAGTGGGAAAGTGACTTATAGCGGCTGTTTAATCCCTAGGGTAGAAAATTTAAGGTGCAGAAAACTTTCCACAAGTTTTAGAGAGAACATAGGTAGAAAGGCATTCTATGCTGGGAATACACAGTGTGCCAGTACACAAGAATAAACAGGTTGATGGTTTGGATTTATGAGAACAAGAAAGGAGAAATAGTAGATGATGTCATAATGCTCCTTTTATAGAGTTATGAAAATCATTCATTTCATATCTGGTTAACTGCTTTCAAATGCCAGTGAGAAAAGTAGTTAAAGCAGGGATCAGTTCTGAGACATGAAGATTTTATAAAAACGAGCTTTACTCTGGGAAAGTGCTATCATCAACCCATTCTTGAGCAAAACCATGCTCACTGCACTTCCACATTCACAAGCCATGCAGTATACACACTGGAGCCCCCAGATTTTTTTTTTTAAGAGATGGGGTCTCACTCTGCCACCTAGGCTACAATGCAGTGGTATGATCACAGCTCACTGCAGCCCGAACTCCTTGGTTCAAACGAGCCACTTGCCTTGGCCTCCTGAGTAGCTGTGAGCCACCAGGTACAGCTATTTGTATTTTTTACTCTTTTTGTAGAGACTGGATCTTACTATGGTGCCCATGCTGGTCTTGAACTCCTGGCCTCAAGTGGTCCTCCCACGTCTGCCTCCCACAGTGCTGAGATTACAGGCTGAGCCAATGTGCTTGTCCCCAAGATTAAAAAAAAAAAAAAAAGAAAAGTATTTGTTGATATGTAGGCAATAAATTGACAAATAATAGTTTGTAAATTACTAATTTACCAATCAATATAAATAAATTGAGTAAACACAAAATAACACCATGAATTAATAAACTGATTTAGACTTCTTTTTTTCCTTTAAAATGTAGCCCAGAGAGAGACTACCAGCTGTCCATTCCATGGAAAAGTTAGAGGTGAGAATCTCAGAGGCACACTTATCAGCACCTTGCTGGCTTGTGGGCAGCTTTCTCTTAGTCACTGAAAAAGAAAGGAGTCACTGATTGGGAGTGACTCAGAAATTCTGAGATATGAGGCACCTCTCCAGCTGGGTAGAGGAGCCAGGCAGGAGCAAACAGAACTGAGGACACAAAGCCACTGCTGACACTAAAAGCAACGAACAAATAAATAAGCAAACGTATTATCAAGAAGTAAAGGAGAGATCTATATCAAGTGCAGCGAGAAGAGGGGAAAGAATTGTATCTGCCAGGCTTTCATGCTGACAAAATAATCCACAATATGGGTCTCTGTGTGACATGCACCAACAGAAAAACGAACCCAAGTACCTGGTTGGATTGAAAGATAAAAACAAAAAAAAAGAACTCTTGTTTATTGACCAGTGTACAATCTAATCTTGGCAAATACAACAAACACTTTCAGGCAATTATTTTCTCCATGTAACACACGTCTTACTACCATTTGGAAATGGGATTTCTTGCTTTGATTTAAACAGGCTTTCTTAACATATTCACAGCTACATTCCCATTACAAATTTTCAAGTGTAAGTAACTATTTCTGCTTCCGATAAACAGGTAACATAATTAGGCAAATAAGGCTTATTCTCATGCAAAGGTAACAGTACCAGGCAAGACCTCAGAGTCAAGTCAAATATAATAGTCAAGGGTAAAAGGAAGTGAAGAGGGAAGAATTGGGCAGTGGGGAAATCTTTTGTGTGGGAAAAAATGAATGTGTAAACCTGTTCTTCCCTAAGATTTCATCAGGTTTTGAATGATACAGAGAGCTTTGTGCACAGGGGGTCCAGTAGCACATGGTTTGGGTCTAATTTCAAAGGCAAATTCTGGTGAAATCTGTGACTCACGCCATCCTAACGGGCCACATGTCAAGGCTCTGTGGACACCCTACAGGCAGCCCTGTGGACCCCCAACAGGCAAGCCTTTCCAGATGAATGCCAGGCCAATGTCTACATCTGATGACATGGGGCAGGATATCTCTAAAAAATAATACTTCCCTGGCCAATGGACTGCACCAGTTACTATTATAAAGTGTAAAATATTATATTACATATGTGTAATGATTTTTAATTTCAGGCATCACAGAGATGCAATTAAATATATGGGCCAAATGTTTATTCTGCTTAAAGACAACTTAGAAATACTGATGCCAGGCTGCATGTGGTAGCTCACGCTTATAATCCCAGCACTTTGGGAAGCTGAGGCAGGCTTGAGGTCAGGAGTTCGAGGCCAGCCTAGCCAACATCATGAAAGCCCATTGCTACTAAAAATACAAAAATCAGCCGGGAATTGTGGCAGGTGCCTGTAATCCCAGCTACTGGAGAGGCTGAGGCAGGAGAATCACTTGAACCCAGGAGGTGGAAGTCGCGGTGAGCCGAGATGGCACCACTGCACTCCAGCCTGGGCAACAGAGGGAGACTCCATCAAAAAGGAAAAAAAAGAGAAAAGAAAAAAGAAATACTGATGACATAACAGATAGGAACTGCAAAGATGCTTGGGCCCCACCAAAGTCAGGAGTTTGGAAATGCCACAGATCTTGAGGGGTAATAAGTACTCATACATTTTCAGCAATACCTCTGCTTGTCCTGAATTTGGAGACCTGGGCTTCAGTTATGCCATGAGTACAGAATATGTTATTATTTTACATCAAGCCTCAATTTCCAAATGGTAAACATCAGGAAGGTGAACTGGGAAGTTTCCTAAGGAGCTGTTGCACCCAACACATTTATGAAAATCTTTTCTAAGTCTCTCCTATACAATATATTGATGGCCTCAATGGGGAGAAGTCATGCACATGTCTCAATTTTCATGAGCCCAATGGGAGCAAAGAATTCCCGGGCAACGCAAGCAGATATAAATGACATGATACACTGAAGAGAGTATAATGTTATCTAAGTCTGCTCCACTGTCAAGTCCACAGATGAAATGTTTCAGTCCACCGAGGTGATCACTTACATGTTATTAATGTGTTAGAAAACCTAATATTACTTATGTCTCTAGGTATGGAAAATATATCTTGTTCGTGTTTTATGGATGAAAAATGTCAACAGGCAAATTAAAAAATAATTTTACAACAAAAATCACCATGTTAATGGCCATTTAATTGGAAATCTGAAGGATAAAGTAAATTTCATTGTGATTGCAAATATCAGTGAAAAAGAAGATTTTATTGGTGTTATTTAAATATAGTTCTCTGGAACACACAAGTTGATTCACAGTGCTCCTGCTGCTGCACTGCCGCCGCCTGACAGCCTGTCTTATCCGCCAAATTGCTCATTAGGTTTGGCAATTTTCACCTGCGCCTCCAGTTTATCTTTCAGCAGGGAATACACATCAGTCTGCTTTTACCATCTTCTGCAGTGAGCTTCCAACACCCCACAGTAGCACAGTGTCCCTGATCTGCAACCCTCCAAACACATCTTGCATATACACCATTATTTTTAAATGCCAATACAGCTCCCAGTTTTCTAACCAAAACTACGGGAGAATATGCAAAGTAAGCCCTGTATTACAAATACTAAGATGACCAATAATTTACTTAATTTTTTAATGCAAAAAAGAACACATAAACCATATAAACTTAATTTCTTAAATGCTCATCTTAAGAGAGTATTTCTGAGTGGGGTGCAGGGGACAAGAGGGCAGAGGATCCTCTTCCAATTGGCTCTGACCCCTCCAACCTTTGTTACAGGTCAGAAAAAAGAGTACTCCAATTTATAAATAAACAATAGAGGTAACGTGGCAACGGGAACAAAGAGGTAGCTGAGAGTACTACTCAGCTCTCTGCCTGTGCCTGATTTTGCCGATCCCTGCCAATGAGCACTGTGACATTCAGATCAATTAAAAAAACAAAAAAAAAAAAACAAAAAAGGAGATACTTTGTGGGCAAAAAGCACCAAAGATATAAAACAAAATGTCTGAAACCCCATAAAACAACTTCTGATGGAATACTGTTTTTCATTTTGCAGAAGTAAAATATTCACCACCAACCCTGCAATTAGCTAGAAAATTACAATAATTACAGCAATTTTGTATCCCATCTCCAATCCAATTAATAGATATATGACCTTGTCAACATGTAATAATCAGATTGCATCTACAACAAAACTGGATGGGTTTTATATGCTGAATAGAACTTGCACAGTAAGAAGGTAATTATTTGAAATACTGAGAATACCATTTGTATGCCATGCTCCACTTCACAAGTTAAAAGGAAATACAATAGGAATATTATTTCTATTTGCAATATGTACTTACATCAGATCCAGAAAATAGTACTCTGATACCAGCAAATGTTAGAAGGACAGATCTCTATACCAAAGGTGTTGGATATTCTAGAAAGACAAAATCAATCTGTATATGCTTGCTAAGAAAAAAAATTAAGAAATCAAGAAGTGGGAGGGGGCACTAACTTAGGTACAAGCTTTCTATAACAATTATTGATATTTCTTTAAGGTCTAAATGTTAGGAAGATAGTAAAATCTTATCAGTTAATTAAATACCATCATTTCAGACAAATTTCCCAAGTAATGGATAAAAATTAACTAAAATTAACATAGCTAATAAAAAGTTAAAAATAACAAAAGATTTAAAAGGCAGCAAAAAAAGAAATGAAATAAATCAGATACTTTGTTTCCCCAAATTTTTATAGCAACACCATTTCCAGAAATTTCACCATTCCTCGGGCTTACATCATTTTCAAAGGAAACTTCATTCTTCAGTCTAGATCTTCCAGAGGAGATATTTAAAAATTTGAATTGTGAGGTAAAAGGAATCTAGCCATGACCTAAACCTGGGCTACCCTCAAATATCTGACTTCTACAAAAAGTCCTTGGGAACTGAAGGAAAAAAAAAATCATAGAGTGAAAAAGTCATACACAAAATATCACCAGCCTTGGACTCAATGATTTGCACCTGAACTGTGTGACCCTGAAAGCTTCAGATCTAAGCCTGATTTGTTAATATTGAAAATAAAGACAGTTAAATGTATATCACAGACATGGTTCCAATTTGACTCTGTAAAAGTTCCACTCCATCTACCTAAGGGGCCAGTAGTGTCCCATTCCAGAATACATGTCCTAGTTACTTGGGCTGAGTAACGTCTCAACCTCTTTACACATCCCCAGGAAGTGGATCTGCACTCAGGAGACATGATCGCGCACACCATTCCACAACTATCTGTTAGTCTAGTGCTTCTCCTGTGTCACAGGCTGCATTAGAACTGTGAACATTATCTCATTACTATACAAAACCATCCTGAGGCAGGTACTCAAAGAGGCGACCAGTGTAATTACCTACTAACCTTGCCCAGTGTCCAAGATGGTGTGACTCTCTTTCCTGTACTCTTTCTGAAATGTAAACACTCTATATTACAAAGGAGTATCTGCATAACAAGCTCATGTTGAAAGCATAAGTAGAATATACTCCCATAAAGTATAATATACACTCAAACTTATCAAAATCTGGGTGGGGAAAAAAACCCCAACAGTTATGTAGAATATCTAGTAACCAGTTTCCTTCAGAGCAGAACATGCATCTACCTGGGAGCATGCAAAGACCTTCCGAGAGATACATTTTAAGGTATCCCATGTCAAGCTCTTCGTGTTCAATATGCATCATTCCCTAAAAAGGTTCTACGAGCCTGAAAACAAGGGGGTCAAGGTGTAATGTGGTTTCTTCCCATCCAATTCTCCATGGTCAACAGCCCCAAAGCCAGTATGTCCATGAGGCAGTGTCCAGGGCCACAATAAGTTTAGAAGCCCAGGATAGTGTTTTATTTTCCTTTAAAATCAAAACAGAAAAACAAATTTTTAGAGTCAAAGAAAATGTTTTCACTTTTTTCTCATATCAGAAGAAAATGATACTCTTAGGAACCATGAAAATCAATTCAATGATGCATAAAATGGAAAAAGTACAATACTGAAATATTTAAAGTTAAATAAAATATAATTTTATGACTGATATTACTATGGTGAGGGCGGCCCATGATGGCCAAAGCGCCCAGAGTCCAGGAAAGTCATGATAGTGTCCTGAATAGCTCTTCTGCTTTGCAAAATTAAAAAACAAACAACAAACACACGCATCGAAAAAATGACAAAACAACAAAAAAAAAGCATCACCTGTCCTGAATCTTACAATTGATGTACAACTGTGCATAAAAACTTCCAGGATGACAAAGCACAGTTTAATACAGCAGCCACAAGGCTGAGAACATAAATCCCTCTGGATAACAAACACTTTTGCCACTCAACTAGTTTCTAGATCCCTCCTTTCAACAAAAAAGAAGGATATCATAAGCCAGTTTTCAGCTCATTGATATATCTATAAAAATAATTTCTGACAAAGGATCACTAATTGGTGTTTAGCATTTAACTTGGAGGGAATTAGAAGAATTGAGTAATACTGATGTAACAAAACTCCATTTACTCCCTAAGTTCTGACTCTCCTTCCAACGTAGGAACAACCAGAGAAAGCCAAATATGAAATTCTAAGCAATCACACCATATATGCCCCTCTTCTAGGTAGCCCACCTGCAGCTACCTCATGCCAGCAGTTTCCAATCAGAGCACACTCAAGCCTTCCCATTTCTCCATGCAAAAGCATTCCCACTCCTCAGCCTGCCTGGGAGCCTCCGTCAAAGGCAAGCCATGATAGCTGCCCCCTAACTACAGCAAGCTCTGAATAAATAGCCTTCACCTGTTCTCATTTGGATGGTCTTCACTTATTTCCACATTAAAAAGCAAAACGTTACATATTTGTATATTTGTGCTATTTTGATCTATTATATATTAATAATCACACAGTACTATATTTAAAATTTTAATGTACTTTGTTTGTTGCAAAGAAATAAGATGACCAATAAAAATATTCAAGCCTAAAAAAGATTAGGTTAAAATTCGGTGCTATATGGAGTGGGGGAAAAAAGTTCAAAGAGAAAAGTAATTAAATAAACCTTCAAACTACTAAGAAGTGCCTTGAGTGTGTGTTTCCTTTATTTTTTTTTAAAGTACCTTTATTAAGGATAATTTTGAACCAACATATAGAAGTAGACAGAATAGTATACTGAATCTTTAGGTAACCCATCCCCTAGCCTGTACTATTCTGAAGAAAATTCTAGAGATATTGTATTAATCATAAATAACTCATTACATACTACTAAAAGGTAAAGGTTCTTTTAAAAATAATTTCAATAACCTTATTGCATCTAAATAATTCCTTACTATTAAATGCCCAATTTGTGTTTTATTCATCAGCATACAAATGTCATTCTTTGTATTAAGCCTCATTTAAATCAGGATTTAAATAAGATCCAGACATTATGATTGGATGTTACATCTCTTAAAAGTTTCTAATAACTTATAAATTCCCTCTCCATCTCTTTCTGCCCCTGCAGTTGATTTTATTGAAGAACGTGGGCCATTTGTCTTACACAGTTTCCCACCATCTTGACTAGGCTGATTGCACCCCTATCGTGTTCACATGCTTCTCAGGGTTCTGTATTTCCTGTAAATAGGCACTTGGATTTAGAAGTCTGATCAGATTCATGATTAATTTCTTTTGTCAAGACTACCTTATAGGAGATGTTGTGTTTTTTTCATCAGGAGGCATACAATGTTTGGTTGTCTCTCCTTGATTATTATTTTTTAATGGTGACTGTCTTAGTTCATTTTGTCCTGCTCTAACAGAGTACCTGACACTGGTAATTTATAAAGAACAGAAATGTACTCTCTCACAGTCCCGGAGCCCAAGAGGTCCAAGATCAAGGGGCTGGCATCTGGAGAGGACCTTCTTACTGCATCCTCACATGTAGGAAGGTGGAAGGGAAAGAGAATGAATGCAGCATCCTCACATGACAAAGCGACAGAGTAACCCCAGTACTTCAAGCTCTTTTTATACTAAGCTATTTTTATGCTAAACTCTTCTTTTTATACTAAGAAGTAATTTTTAATACATATATACAAAGTGATTTCCTCTTCATCTACTATTTGGTTATACAGTGATACCACTCATACAAAGGATACACAGAATAGATTTCTTTTTTTCTTTGTGACAGACTCTCCCTCTGTCACTCAGTCTGGTGTGCAGTGGACAATCACAGTTCACTGTAACCTTGATCTCCCAGGCTCAAGAAATCCTCCTGCCTCAGCCTCCCGAGCCACAGCGAGTGCAGTCACACACCACCATGCCCACCTAATATTTTGATTTTTAATAGAGACAAGGTCCTTTATAAATTACCAGCCCGGGCTGTTAATTTTATCTTTCTTTGAACAGTTTTCCAAATAATAAGCAACTTTATGACCTGAACACCTCCCATTAGGCCACACCTCCCAACACTGTTGTACTAGGGATTACATTTCCAACATGTAAATTTGGGGGGACACATTAAGAGCCTAGCAATGATCAGTACCTAGATCCATTATGTCATCAGAAGTTGCAGAATAGTAATATTCCAATGCTACCATTATGTCTTCATTTATTAGCTGAAATACTTACATAAAAAGCAAGTATTTGGATATCCCGTGAAACCACACTACAAGGAAACGCAGAATAGATGACTTATTCCTGCTTTCCTTTATAAGGTTTCCAAATAATAAGATGGCTCACTGGTAGCCTTCTCCTTGCTTGCTGGCTTCTTTATTATCATTATACACTCATGCATGTATTGCTGTTGCTATCTGTATTGATGCTCCCACTGTCCCGTCTTTGGCCAGCAGGAGCATCGTGTTGTCTCCTAGGCCCTCTGGCCCACCCTAGTAATCTTTCATAACTGCCCTATTTTCTGATATGACAGGATGATCCAGGATGATCCCATACATTTCCTGTACAGGCTTGCATTCAGGCATTTCTCTAAGAAGCTCTGATCCCCTCAAATGAAAAATGCTATTTCCAGAGCATAGTCTGGATTGAGAAATGCTGAGTTACTGGGTTGGTCATTGATTCTAGACCTTTTCTGTGAATATACACAGGAGTTTTTCTTCCCTCCACGTTCCTTTTTTAAAAACTAAAACATATCAGGAATTAACTATGACATGTCTAAACTGAGGACTATCCATTTTTTGTTCATTCTCCTTTAACTTATATCTGTACACTTTTTCTTCTATACTAAGAATACTGGGTACTCAATGACACCAGGAATGACAAAATTAGAATATTATAATTTCCCATCTCTTTCATCCTGTAATACCCACCCAAAAATCTAAGATTAACAATACCAACGACAAACAGTTTCCGGGTCCTTGTCATTAGGCAGTTCTTTTTTTCCTTAGGATACATCTCCCTTTGTACAAATTCCTTTGATTTAAAGTTAATTGAAATAGTTACTCTTGTTATGTTTAGGCTACCAAAAAAATATATTTATGGTCAGATATTTCATACTCATTTTTTGTCTTTAAAATTAAAATTTATTAAGTGTATGAATATTAATATTCATTTGAAATGTTTACTGTAAAAATTAAAAATTGATCATTTTATAATTGTGTAAAAGATAATATAGTTCCAACCTCAAATATACAGAAGGAAATAGTATGCATCTAGTTTCTATTTTACTTCCTCCATCCTATTCTCTCCCTTCTCCATAGGTTGGTTAGTTGGTTTGTTTGGAGCCAGAGTCTCATTCTGCCGCCCAGGCTGGAGTGCAAGGGCATGATCTCGGCTCACTGCAACCTCCACCTCCCGGGTTCAAGAGATTCTCCATGCCTCAGCCTTCCGAGTAGCTGGGACTACAGGCGTGTGCCACCACGCCCAGGTAATTTTTTTGTATTTTTGGTAGAGACAGGGTTTCACCATGTTGGCCAGGCTGGTCTCGAACTCCTGACATCATGATTCGCCCACCTTGGCCTTCCAAAGTGCTGGGATTACAGGTGTGAGCCACCGCACCCAGCCTGGATTATCTTACTTAACTTTCTCATTTCTTACATTTTTATTAACTAGTAATCACATGTTTGTCTTCTAGTTTAAGAGTGTTATTCAGGATACTGTTCAATATACTGGAATCAACAAAATGTTTCTCAAGTTTTAAGTTAACTGCTATTTTGACTATACAAACAATGATGTATTTAATTCAGGGTTTCTAACCGTGGCACTACTGACATCTGGGCTGCAGAGTTCTCTGATGTCGGATTGTCCTGTGCTTGTAAGGTATGTACCAGTGTCCTTGACCTCTACTCAATGCCCAACTCCACCAGTTGTCACAACCAAAAATATCATCAGACACTGATAAATGTTCCTTGGGGAGAAAACACTTCTGAGGTTGAGGAGCAATGATTAACTAAATCAGAGTTCTCTCTGTATTTTCTACAAAAAAAAGCTCAGGGCTAAATTAATGGCAGCTTCTAGGGAAACATAAAAAGACCTCAAGATGAGAATTCCATCTATGAAAACCATCTAGGCTTTATCTTAATACCCAAACTTCGTATCCATTTTTCTATGGAAAAAAATACATACTCTATATATTTTTCTCAACTTCCACCAATTCTTTATGGAATAAAGGGGATGAGTGAATTCATTCATTGGAAAACACAGGAAAGTGACCACTCCTTCTTTAAGGCAAAAATTAGAAATTTATTTATCTTCAATTAAGCAAATCTCTACATATTGTTGGCTTCTTTCTTTTCATATCTGTAAATAGTTAGACTACCATTTACTACTAACTATAGCTCCTTGATAGCAAGCGCCAGGCCTTATTAACTCAACCCAGGACTCACCACCTAGCACAAGGCATGGCCAGTATGGACAAATTCATCTTCTATGTCTGAATGAACGTCATTAATGCGGTGGCAAAAATCACCTTGACAGGTGACTCATGTGTGATGCATTACGTTCACATAGTTATGGACCTGTGTATAGTAGATGCTTAACCCAATGCCTGCCAAGATCTGAAAATCTAAACCTTAGCATACCAAAATGAGAACAAGAAAATAAGATTTGCATATTCTCCCACTGGTGGCTGCAAGACAACACATATGCTTCAAATGTAACTTCTTTTTCTCAATAAAAACAAGATAAAAAGAGATATTTGGGGTTTAAAACACCATTTAAATTTTAACACATAAGGCCAGTCAAATGTGGATGGTTATGTGTTAGAAATTTTGTTGAGTCCAGAGGAGTCAAAAGGTAAAAATTGACGGAAAGTATGTTAATCAAATTCATAAATCAACATAAAGAAATTAACCTTTCTTCTAATATTTTTTATGGTGTGGCTATATTAAAGCTACAAATTGCTTTAGAAAAGATACAAGTACAACACTACAACGGTAACACAACAGAAAGTTCTGTATTTAAGTATACACATTACAGTGTTATTACTCAAATAAAGACACTATTTTCCAAACTTCTGGTATCTGAATACCTGAACTACTATTTAAATTTTCCATGAGTCAAATTTAGGCAGTCTACATTGTATACACAGGATCATTCCAAGCAGATATCCACTAAGTCGTAGGCTTAATGAACTAATAAAAAATCAACCAGGGTAACTAGTGTACCACCTGCACATCATTTTGTATACGCTGTATGGTACATGCCTCACCTTTTGAAAAACACTGCCCAAAGCAAATCTAATGTAAGAATTTTTAAACAGTATATCCTAGTAGTCAACAAAATTATTTTCACAAAATTAGTTTCTTGCATATGTGCATAAATAAAGCTAAATCTCTTGCATATAAAAAATATTCAACTAAAACAACTTATAGGTTCTGTTCCACCCCAAGTATCCTTGGAAACATCTGTCATTGTATCTGAGTCCGATCTTGTCTGGATGATAGAAAGCAATTGTAGGAAGTGGTTAGCACTGGTCTGTAGCTGCACGCAATCCTCTAGAGCATCACTTACGTATCCCATCTTGAACTACACCTTCTAAATTCTCTACACTCTGTATGGCGCATTGTCCTGTGGGTTCTGATGGGCTAACAGATCTCTAACTGTTAAACTGCTCTTCTTTCCTTGTTCTCTTTATATACACCTTCAAGGGACAAGAGAAGCAGAAGTAGTTTGTAAACATCTAGAAGCAAATTGCCAAATTACTACAGATTGCTATCAATGCAAAAAAAGGGAATTAGGATGCATTTTTAGAAGAATAAATTATATATTCTAAATATTATCTACCTATATTCTGTATCTTAATTATATATATATTTTATTAACACATATTATTACCCATCTGTTTATAAATATCTACTGAAGACTACCAATCAGTAAAGACACGTAAGACCCAAATTTTCTACCTGAAAAAAACTGAAGTGTTTCCAAATAGATGTACCTAAAAAATAAATAATCCTTTTTTTTTTCTCTCACTCTGTTGCCCAGGCTGGAGTGCAGTGGCACAATCTCGGTTCACTGCAACCTCCATCTCCAACCTCCAATCGTTCAAGCAATTCTCCTGTTTCAGCCTCCCAAGTAGCTGGGATTACAGGCAACCGCCACCACGCCTGGCTAATTTTTGTATTTTTAGTAGAGATGGGGTTTCACCATGTCGGCCAGGCTGATCTCAAACTCCTGACCTCAGGTGATCCGCCCACCTCAGCCTCCCAAAGTGCTGGGATTATAGGCATAAGCCACCCCGCCCAGCCAAAAAATCTTTTAACCTTACACATTTATTGAAATTGATCTTCTCTTAACAACTGCTCAATTACAAGATTATACAACTATAAACACTAAATATTTGTAGCAAAAATACCTGACTTTTATGAGTACCTTCCAAGAATGGCTAACAGAACTCTTCAGGCAAGTATCCCAGATCTGGAATACCCAGGGTCCTAGGATTCCTCATATAGGACTCACTATGTCCATATTCCCCTTCCCTAAGGAGGTATTCTAATCACTGCTCTCCCAAATCCCTGAAGATAACTTTGACACGGCGGTCTCTTCTTCCCCAGCTCTTCAGATAAAGTTCAAATAATATAAATGACGGTTGTAACAGAGTTGACTGTAATGAATGATGCTACGTTTTGTTTCAGTGCAAAGCTCTTTGGTCATTTCTACTTGTTCTAGCATTCAGATAAACATATGGAAAGGAAAATCCAAATAATTTAACTTGAACTATTGTCCTTATTTACAGTTAGCGAGTCACGGAAAGTCTACTAGTCGAAAGTAAAGAAAGCCTAATCTATTACAATGTAAAGAACTGCCTACTTCTCTTGCAAAGAACATTTGCCTGGGTCCTAAACTTAATTTTTGAATAAAACAGATAATTAATTCCATTTACAGGGTCATGGATGAATAACAAAAGTTGGTATTCCTGTAAATTAAGATGAAATGGAAGAGAAGAAAGAGCTTTCACTTACTTGCTCGAAGGACTGAAGGTGTGACCTCAATTTCACTTGTTGCTTGGTAAGGCTGAAAGGCTGAGACATTGTTGGTGCCAAGCTCACTACCAAATATCTCTGGGCTCTGGGTACCCGTGGAACTGGCACTGGTGCCATCACCTCCGTGATGTGGATCCTGCTCATCAAACACTGCTACCAGCTAGAAATGAAAGGTAAATGTGCACTTATAAATAAAGGCACTTAATTAACTACCAAAATTTTGTACTATTTTGACATAATTCTACAGTGCAAAAATACTGATATAAATGACCCTAGAATGGTAAGTTTTACGAAGAAAAACCTCAAAGAAACAGTGTTTCCCTAAATTTTGATGCTTTACTTGTATAATTCTAAGTCGTACATTTCACATTCAAAAGTCTATGGGTGAAAAAATAATAAAATTGTTTGCTATCACAGCATGCTAAGTCAGGGACAGATATAAATCTTCTTAAAAATATAGGATATTTAAATGGAAAAGAAAAATGCAAAAGTGTGTATATATATGAGTATACATATATATCTGTGTGTGTGTATACACACATGGTATGAACTACTATTCACATAAAAAGGGGATATTAAAAACTAAACATGTATCTTCTCATTTGTGCATAAGATACATGCTAAAGACAAACCTGTCATACAAATATTCCAGTTAGTAAATTTGTTTCTCTTTAGCAATTCTTACTCTACTACACGCCCCCCACACACACACAAACACACACACACCAAGAATGAACAAAAGAGTGCAAATATGTTTGATAATAAAAGCAGATGTTTTCACAGTCAGAAACAGAAGTTACAGAGAAGAAAAAGCTAGAATAAACTGGTGCTCAGAATGGAATCCAGGACATCAGTATGAGCTCAGTTTTTGTTTGTTTGTTTGTTTTGTTTTGTTTTGAGATGGAGACTCACTGAGACGCCCAGGCTGGAATGCAATGGCACGATTTCGGCTCACTGCAACCTCCACTTCCTGGGTTCAAGTGATTCTCCTGCCTCAGCCTCCCAAGTAGCGGGGATTACAGGCGTATGCCACCACACCCAGATAATTTTTGTATTTTTGGTAGAGACAGGGTTTCATCATATTGGCCAGGCCAGTCTCAAACTTCTGACCTCAACTGTTCTGCCCGCCTCAGCCTCCCAAAGTGCTGGGATTACAGGCGTGAGCCACTGCTCCCGGCCAAACTCACAGTTTTTATAAGTACATAGTTAAGTAAATACACCGACAAATGGGTAAGTATATCAATAAATGTTAATGAATGTGTGAGTATAAAGAGTTCCCAGCTCTGTCCACACAGAGATCCTAGAAACAATGGCATCCCCAGTGCCACTGAGCATGCCTAGTACCCAGATCGTGGTTTCTAATACCATTCTCCAGTTAATGAACAAGGGCTCCTTGAAAAATGGTTGATTTCAGGGCTGTGGTCAGGGAAACACATGGTAAGCCTGGAATGCCTTGTGATGTCAAAAAGGGGTACTCAAAAATGATGAAGGCACATCAAATGGAAGCAGGTGTCAACCTGAAGGGGCTCCCAATGGACAAAGCGGAGACAACTTACAAACTAAAGAAATCATACTGGCATTGGATCATTATCCAAAGAATAAACTAAAATCCATGAGTCCATAATGATATAAATAATTGAACAAATAAATGGTAGAGAATAAACAGCTGTTCCCTGCTGTAGCATTCCAAATAATAAATAGAAGGAATGATGGCAACAGAAATCATCATTAGGCAACCTCCACCATAAAAATCGTTCAGGTAAAATCTACTAATGGATACTAACATTAATGGGTGTGAATATGATAATAACAGGATATTTGCATAGCTCAAAATGTCTCCCCAGAAGAGTCATTTTGACTAAAAAGCAAAACAGTAATATTGTTGAAGTGGAGAAACTTGGCAGCCACTGCTGTACCCAGGTTAACGTCATTCATAGTAAGATGCAGCAATATCAAGTACCATCTGATAAAATGCACTGGGAAGTATATAACATTACTTTTGTGGTATTCTTGCCAAAAATGTATAACGTCCATCTAATCGTGAGGAAACATCAGACAAACCCAAATTGAGGGATATTCTGAAACATAAATAAGGCTCTCCAAAAGTATCAAGGGTCATGAAAGTAAAAGAAAGAACAAGGAGAACGAGGAAATTGTGCAAATTGGAGGAGTCTGAGGAAGAATGAGAACTACATGGAGTGGGAGGATAGAAAAAGGGCATTAGTGAAAAAATAGGCAGAATTCTAATGAGATCTGATTAGTTGACAGTACTGACTCAGTGTGAGTTTCTTTCTTTTGATAATTGTTCTATGATTATGTAAAATGTTAACATTAGGGATAGATGAAGTGTATATGGAAATACTCTGTAACTATTATTCCAAGTTTTCTGAAGTATAAAATTATTTCAAATTAAAAATTTTAAATGTTATAATATTTTTAAAAAGCTATAAAAATAAAAAAGTACTCTATGTCTTCTTATAACTAATACAGTTCTTAAAATGCTAATATACTTCTTATAAATCCCAAAGCGTAGGCCAGGCGCGGTGGCTCACGCCTGTAATCCCAGCACTTTGGGAGGCCTAGGCGGGCGGATCATTTGAGTTCAGGAGTTCAAGACCAGCCTGGCCAACATGATGAAACCCATCTCTACCAAAAACATAAAAAATTAGCCAGGTGTGGTGGCACGCTTCTGTAATCCCAGCTACTCGGGAGACTGAGGCAGGAGAACTGCTTGAACCCAGAAGGCGGAGGGTGCAGTGAGCCAAGATCCTGCCACTGCACTCCAGCCTGGGAAACAGAGCGAGACTCCATCTCAAAATAAATAACATAACATAACATAACATAACATAACATAACATAACATAACATAACATAACATAACATAAAAATAGAAAATAAATCCCAAAGAGTAAAAAACTTCTAAGGATCCACACTGGCTGCCACCTTGGAGCTTCACCCTTCAATCCCACACCTAGCAACTCAGCTTAGCCTTCCAAGAAAAGAACCATGACTGGAACCAAAATAAACCCCTCTCCTGCCTCCAATCCAAGCTTTTTCAAGGCCAACACTTGTCTCAGGTCAAAAACAGAAACGCGAATGTACAGAATATGAGTAGGACTCATAATTACAGTCCTCATTTTATAAATGGCTTTGTCGTTTGGAACAAATGCTATTTCCATGAACATTTATATATCATCAATCCATTTATCATCGACACAACAAAGAAAACCATTGTACAGTCACAAAGAGACAGGAAGCTCAGAAACCTGCTGACGTATAGATAGAATCAGCTGATTAAACAATCTGGAAGAACCAGTACCAGGGTTCATACCATACCACGGTAATTGGTATGAAGAAATCACAGTAGGATGAATAATTGGGCCACTCAACCTTATAATGAACAACATAAATCAGAAAAGAAGTCCTTAATAGTTACAAAAAAAAGGGAAAGGTATGCATACGTATACACCAAAACATCCATATATAGTAAAATCAGTTTATCTGACAGTGACTTGCAAGTGTCTGCCTGTATTAGAGACACAGACATTCCACTAGATTAGGGGTCAATGGGCAAACTTTCTCGAAAAGAATAAGACAGTAAATATTTTTGGAGCTGTGGCCCATACCGTCTCTTTCATAACTACTCTACTCACTAATTATAGTATGAAAGAGCACCCATAGACAATACAAAAACAAATGACTGTGACTACATTTGAATAAAACTTTATTTATAAAATAAACAGGCCAAATTTGGCCCATGGTCCCTAGTTTGACAACCCAGCCCATCTTTCTAGTAACATGCAATTTTAGTTTCAGTTTGAGCAATAAAACTAAAAGTCAAGGTACCTTTGTAGCCTCAAAAAACTAAAATACTCATTTCAAGCTCTGCATGAAGATTTTGGATTGCTATACTTGATTTTAATATCATCATACTTTTCATAAGGTGTGTGGCTTAATATGCATTTTGAAGATATTAAGTTTTGACATTTTGGTGCTTAATTGGAAGCAAATGAAATTCATGTTTTGTTATTAACTTTTCACAATGATGTGTTCTCTCAAGAATCGAGTCCTTTCTGCAAACTGAAAATGGAGATTGAAAATTACAAAGAATAAGTCTTTAAATGCCACATGATGGAAGAGCTTATACATATATATTAGTTTCAATAATTATCTCCAGCATTTTTAGAAAACATTATAGAACCACAGTTGGTGATTTGCAATATGCCAATAACATACAATTGCACAGCTTTCTTTTAAACCAAAATTTAAGTGCCAGGTCCCAATATGAAATAATTTTGTGTTAAACTGGGAAAGATATATAATTTTAGAAAATCTACTCTATAAGAATGCATATAGTAACACAGCAAAAAAAAAAAAAAAAAAAGGTGGGGGGAACCTTCACAAAAAACTGCGTATTAAAAATCTCCATCATGCCCTTCAAAAAGTAAAGGAAAAGTCTTTTAAATTTGTGAAATGTTACTCAAATTCTAATTTAACAGATGGAATCTTCACTGCTGTCCACAAAGTAGATCATTTTGAATGTTCATTTTTTTCCTTGCAATAATTATTAATCTCTCTTCTGTTCCATTCATCTATCAAGTCTCCATGAGAAAAGACAGGCAGAATTTGGATAACACCTACAATAGCCCAAGTAGAAATAAACTCTAAACATTGTCACCCACTTTCCCCTACCTCAGGACAAGTCACTTTAACTATGAAACATCAGAACCCCCCAACAGAAAACCTCTTATAGAAACATCACACAGAAATGCTTATAAAACCCTTGGATCTAGGGAAGTCCCTTTAATAGGTAAAATTAAGACCTGAAAGCCCACAACTGCATGTAGCAAAGTGGCTAACAGCAATGGAGAATCAGAAAAAGCTACATTCAAAGCCAGCTCTGACCTTATTTTTTGGGTAGCTGTTGGTAAATCCAGTGGCCTCTCTAACACCTCCAGACCTTACTCTCCTCATTTGGAAAAGAGGATGGTGGTTGTGGGTAGACAGAATAATGGTCTCCCCAAAGTTATCCATGTCCAAACTCCTGGAACCAGTGAATGTTACCTTCTATGAAAAAGGGACTTTGCAGACAGGATGGAGGTTAAGAACCTTAAAATGGAAAGATTATCCTTCATTATCCAGGTAGAGCCCCATCTAATTACATAAGTCTGGAAAAATGGAGAGCCACGCCTGGCTGCGGCCAGAGAGAAACGTGATGATGGCCAGAGAAATACTACACTGCCCACCTTGAAGACAAACAAAGGGAGTCATGAGCCAAGGAAAGTGAGCAGCATTTAGAAGGCAAGGATATAGATTCTCCCCTAGAGCCTCGAGAAAGGAGCACGGTTAACACACTGATTTTATGGCATTCTGACCCATGTCAGCCTTCTACCAAGCAGAATTGCCAGGTAATGAATTTGCATTGTTTTCAGCCACTTATGCCTGCTCTGCCAGATGTAGGACAAATAAAGAGATAAGGTATACAACTTCCAGAACACAATAAGTATGTTTACTATGAGCTTTTATTAAATTATATTGTGATGGATGATAAATACGTTCTACTTTTGTAAATATGAGAATAGTTTCAAGAGTAAAGAAGACAGATGCAAAGCTCAATCGCTGTGTCTTGGATCTACACAGGAATAGTAATGGGAAAAAGAACACGGAAAGAAGACAGCATGCTAGAAAATGCATGTTCAACATAGATATGGCACAAAATGAAGACCTTCCACAGACGCTCTACATCCTCCTCTAGAGGGCCCCACAGAAACACAAAGTCGTTTTTATTATTTCACTTAACAGGAAGCAAAGCCGAGCCTCAGAGAGATGAATCTGACTAGCATATAAATAAATACAGAATAAATTTGAGATGGGAAATCAAGTCAAAGATCCTATTTTCTCCAAATCTTCCTGCTCTGGAGCATCTAACATATCCACAGCACAGGGCACTGGCAGGCTACAAACTAAGATTATCTGCAGACCTCTGAATAGGATTCTGTTCGTTTTTGATTAATCAAACGTAATAACCTGCCTTTACCAAATTAATGCAATTTTGATGACACCACTTAAAATTTTTCTGAACATATCTGAGGGTAATGAAGATCATCACAGACAATTCATCCTGCTGGTGCCATCACTCAGTCTTAAACAGAGGGCTTAAAAGGATCAAAGAACTTGCAGATTCTACCCTCATACAGGAAAATGAAAGCTGATTTAAGCCAAGTCTAAGTGAAATCTCAAAGACCTCTAGGTTCAAACTCCACACACCCTGAGAAGCCATTTTAATGTGACACCCTGTGAGCAATCTCTCACTTTCCATTGCTTTCTTCATGTATAAGCTAGACATATCCAGGGAAAGTCAATTATGATGGGTGTCATTGGACACTCAATGTCAATATATGCAATTGTTTTCCTATGAAATAAAGACTTATAATTCTTTTAAAAAGGCATCATATTTTGGCCCTGGATAAAGTACAAAACATGTTGGAGAATACTAGAAACAAGAATAAACTTGAAGATGCCTCCATGACCCTCTCTTCATCTAAGAAACATGAGCAGCCTCCATGAGTCAAGCCAGATCCAGCGGCTTAGTCAACAAGAAGCACAACACAGAAAGTGCGTGTTTGAGAGATGACAGGGAGATGTCATGGGCAGATGTGCCTATAAAGAAGAATGTAACAGAAGAGAATAGAAAGAAAATTCAACAGATATGGGAGAACTAGAGCATAATGAAATAAATTTCAAAAACTTAACAATAAAACTAAAGGAGTTGGAGATACATGCATTTTTTAAGTTTGAAGTCAGGCTGTTCCATGATGTATAATTCTAAACTATCACTAATTCAAAAATCACTTTTCGTCTCCATAGTTTATAAATTATAGATTTCTATAATTAGGATCATACCTACCAATACATTTAAATTCTTCTGCCCTTTCACTCAAGGATGTCCAAAAAAATTATAAATTAGATCAAGTATTTGAGTTTCTGAATTCCCCTTTTTCTATCTCTTATTTTTTTTTAAGATTTCATTTACACTTGTCTCCCATAAAGCACACGTGATAACCTGTGGCACTTACATAAAAGAAAAACTAACCAAACACTAACATGCTTTTGTAGATTATCACAGTGTATTATCCAACATAAGAAAGGGAGCTAAATGAGATCAATCTTTAATAAAGCCATTTCCAGCAAAATATCATGCAGGAGAGGGCAGAACATTCCCGCTGCTTCCTGAACAACACAGGAGACCACCATCATCATAAGCTTCTATCTGTCAATTGCCAAAGGGAGACCTGTCCGACAAGAGCTAATGCCATCCTTTAAGAAGAAAGTATTTCTTGAACACTCATGCCTAATAGAGATATTCCACTGCATCTGGAAACCACAGTGAAAGATATTCACCTATGATACTCCCTAGCCCTGATGCTTACATTTCAGAGCTGAAATTTAATTCTGTTGTCCCTCAGGGTGACATAGTCTATCACCCACTGAGCCTTCAGACTAATTAGATTCCCAGTTTAAGACTTATGTTCAACTAATAGCCTTGAGTATGTCAACCACAAACCACAATGAAAATATGCAAATTCGTATAGCCATCAGCTAACTGACCCACCTGCCAAATATAATATAAACCCCTCTTGCTCTACTCTCTATCATGAGTGCCACTGTTACACTGGTATCCACCCATGAGGTTACAACTACATAACACTACTGCTTAAGTATTAATAAAAAGTAGGATAGCACAGTAAGACAGAACAAAATAATTCAGAAATGGGCTAATCACATACAGATAGGTTGACTCCAAACTGGAGGAAGTGGCACGAGTTGTGATTTTATCATGAACACATGCAGTGTTCCCTCAAAGAGAACATGGTAAGACTGGCAAATGGGCAAGATGAATAATCTCAGAAGCAAATGCGATGATGTAGTAACTAATTATTACGTAGACACAACAAAAAGGGAACTAAAAATCAATTTGTAAGCTTTCTGATGACTGAATTTACTTTAATGACACAGAGACAATACTAAATCCTTAATCATTCTCTGAGCCTTACTTGCTAGCATGGTTCATTAAAAACTCATTTAAATAGAGCTAGTGTTTAACTGGACGAGTAAGCAAAAGGATATATTTGAACCAATGATGTTTTGTAATCATAGTAATACAAACTATACCAATAAAAACTCGCTACAGAACAAGAATCTTAAGCTTGCCACTGGAAAACTTTAAATGTTATGCATGTGAGATTAATTCCACGCTTCATCAGCATATTAAGAAGGGTATATACTGTCTGATAAAAAAGACCTAAAACTTAGAAAAGAACACTAAAATACCATGAGCACATTAAAGACTAGCGAATGTTCCTACTGGCTAAGCCAAGAATGGCAAAGTGTGGATAGACTTTCTCGTACACAGTACCAGGAAACTTGACCTCAAACCCGTCTCAGGCTCTAGCCCCATGGTTTGTGATATTAGAGCAGTACCTCACCTATGGGTATATGTTCCAGCCTTGCCACTCTGCCAACCTTCCAACATATCTAAGAGGGAGTAACGTGGAAACAGGGGTCAACAGCATAGTGTTCTAATCTGTGAACAATTTAGCTTGACAATTCATATGTTTACGTGTATCCAGAAATGCCTGCATTAACAAATGATAAATAAGAGAATCCCTCAATAGTAACTCTTTAAATTAACAACACAGTCTGCAGTAGGGATTTTGCTTAAAAGAAAAAAAAAAGATTTTTTTTTTCTAAGAGGCGTGAGCCTCTGTGCCCGGCCAAAATATTTTTATTAATCAAAAGTCCACCAGGCATGGTGGGTCATGCCTGTAATTCCAGCACTTTGGGAGGTAGAGGTAGGTAGATCATGAGGTCAAGAGATGGAGACCATCCTGGCCAACATGGTGAAACCTCGTCTCTACTAAAAATACAAAAATTAGCTGGGCGTGGTGGCACACACCTGCAGTCTCAGCTACTCGGGAGGCTGAGGCAAGGGGAATCGCTTGAACGTGGGAGATGGAGGTTGCGGTGAGCCAAGATCGCACCACTGCACTTCAGCCTGGTGGCAGAGAGAGACTCCGTATCAAAAAAAAAAAAAAAAAAAAAAAAAATCCAACACCATGTAGGAAATAGATAGGTCTTAACGAGATAAACCAAAATCTCTCTTTCTCTCATACACAGACACACACACAGCCTCTCTAAACTGTAATTAAAAGACAACCACCACCAAAACCCACAGCACCAATCACAATGTTAAACGTTAGTGAGCAAGCAACTGGGGGTGAAATACTTTCCATCTTCTTCCTAATCTCCACTAAACACCACTCCCTTCACTCCCAGGCATAAGTCACATCCTGAAATCTCCCCCAGTCCCTACGCTGTAATAGTCCCAGGGCATGAAAAGCTGCCAATGTGAATGCACAACCCAGAAACATAGCAGGACAGTCACGACCAGGCAGGAGCATGCCCTGCTCTCCTGCTCCTCTGAATGTCTGCATCCACTGGTGAGTCCACAAAAACAGAGCTGAGATCCTTAGTGGGAAGGCCCTTCCTTTCTAGTCTTTCAGAGCTGAGATCTTTAGTTAGGAAGGCCCTTTCTTTCTAGTCTTTTTACCTCTTCAGCTAGCTGGATATAGTAAACCAGGGCTTGGTTCCACGGGTGGGGAGCCCTTGTCTCCATACCCACACACCACCCTCAAACCCTCCTCCTGCTGTGCCACCAGCAAGTTACGAATGTTTAGATGCAGGGAAAGTAGGAGTCCCACTTAAGCTACAACTGCCTCCTCCTACCAACTTGTACCGTTGAGCTCCCTGCTACAGTTCATATCCAGTGTCGTCAGAAACAAGGGTAATTCCGTCTCTACCATCAAGTAATACCATCTCACAGAACCGAGACATTCCCTCGTTGGGCTTCCTTAACGCATCACTCATTCCATTGTTGAACTTGTAAAAAATGACTCATCACTAAAATGTCTTGCCATCTGGTAAACTCTATACTTTATTTTTTGGCAATCAGTAGTGGAAAACTTTTCATTCTAAAATAGAAACTTGAAGGATCACTTCCTTAGTCCTAAATTTTGCAAATTATATTTAAAATGAGAAGCACTAGAAAAGAAAACTTGGCTGTGGCTTTGGCCAATCAATCAGAACTGGGAAGCAGTTAAGCAATTTGCACAAAGTCATGGAAAACTTCTCCACACAATGTTAGGTCTAGAGATGATGCAGCAGGGGTCAGCACATCACCAGCCCTGGCATTTAAAGACAAGATGGTATTTCCAACTCTAAGAACTAGCCTTGTTTCCAAGGCAACCTGCCCTTTGTATAGGGGACTCACTTGGGAGTTCATAATCCCTTTACCTGCTGACTTCACAATTTGAACAAGAACCTCAGCAATGACTTAGCTTCCATCTAAAAGCATCACAAGAAAAACTGAGGGCCGTTTAACTACTTTAAAGGAAGAAAGGAATTCAGATGATTCTATTAAGACATGGGCTGGAGTGGGGAGGGTAGATAGAGAAGAAAAAAGTGATTCAGAAAAAAAGAAGAAAGTAGAACTAGGAGTTGCTGCTTAACAGTGATTTATTTTCAAATTAAGATATATCAAACCCACCACTTCTGTTCACTTCAAGTTCTGAATGAAAGTCCAGGTGAAAATGACACACAATGAAAACCTCAAATTCATTCTGACAACCACAAACCAATATTAGCAAAAGATCAAAGTTCAATAAATTTATTTTGTAAAATGTAAGGTTAATATTACAGTACAAAATGACTTTCAGTTTAATTTGCATGCAAGAAGGAAGGGTGTGATTTTTAAATACCCACCCAGGGGCAAAGATGAAAAACTTCATTTTCTGACTCCTTTTTTGCTACTCTCATTATTTCAACACCTTCTACAAAGGAGAGATAACGGTGTCCTTGACATTAGCCTAAATTATCTTCAGTATGCAATACAATACTGATTAAATTAGGCTCATTTTAATCAACTGGCAGGTTTATTCAAAAAGTAACTAAATAATAAAATTCTTTTTATCAACTCTTCATTAGTATAACCTGTTTAGCAATGTTTTTAAAAAACTGAACACAGAATAAATATTGTGTGCCCATCTTTTCACTCCCATATTTGACAGGTAAAAGAAATAACTTGCAAGTTAAATATTTCCCCCAATCCACAAATTGCTTTAATACTGAAATTTAATGCCAATCTTCTGGAAGGTAAATACTAGTGCCATCTAATGGACTTAGTCAAGCACAAAGAGTTTAAAAATTTTAAGTTTTAAAGAAAATCTATTCTAAGGAAAGCCAAACCCTCTACTTGCCTTCATTTGCTTCCCAAGACAACGTCCACACAAGTGACCCAGAATAATGGAGATGGAGACACTTTATCCTGCGGTTTGCCAGGAATTCCACTCATTCTACCACCACAAGGTTGCTAATCATGAATGAGCTCTCAAGATGAGTCAGCCTCAAACAACTCACCAGCTGCGTGGCCCTAGGTAACTTCTTCACTCCTCTGGGCTCAGTAGTGATAGGTTTTGTTTTGTTTTGTTTTGTTTTGTTTTTTCCCCATAAATTTCATTTGATTATGACAAATTGCTTAGGATGTTTCCTGTAAGTAGCAAGTTTTTAAGAAATGTTACTAATATTTGAGAAAGTTTCAAGAGACTGAGGTAATCAAGAGGGGAAGATGAAAGACAACTAAGTTAAGCCATATAGACTTTATCCTGAAAACTGCGGGGTGTCATTAACACACAGCAGTTTAACTTGCATTTATTCTGCACGAGGTTTCAAGGGGTATGGAGAAGGACTAGGAGGGTAAACACTCGTAGCTCATTAGTCTAATAATGAAGAAGTCATGAGGGCCAAGGCTAATGGAAAGGTGGTGAAAAGACAATCAGGATGTATAATTATTCAAATGCAGAATGGAGACTTATTTAAAAGGACTTGGTATGTGGTGGATGGGTGCCATTATGAAGGAAAATGACAGATTTTAGGTGTCTAGGTTTGTCATTTGGGTGGTTGGGCAGAGGACAGGCACAAGGACAAACAAAAACAAAAGATGATGCATTCAGTTACAGGGAAAACTATCACATGCTCTCAGCCAGTTCCTGGGACACAACTGGAGATGGGAGTCCATGGTACAAAAAAGAGTTCGAGGCTAACTACTTGTAATTGGGTGCCGTCCACACTTAGGTACAATTGAAGCCACAGGTTTCATCCAATCTGAATGCGGATCACCCATGGAAATCAGAACTCAAACCTGGGTAACTGCTGAGATTGCAGGTTCCTCTTCCCTTCCTCCAAACCACTTTCAAAGGATTTTGAGAACTGACTAAAGAATATAAATAAAATCAAGGAAACAGGGTTTCACAAAACTAGGGAAAGAAAAGTAGCATGGAATAGCTGGATCAGCAGTACTCAACACCACAAGGAGGCCCATGAGCTCTTTCTCTAACAAGGACACATGTGCATTATCACCCCAGTGCTATTAAACAGGTGACCCTAGAACAATGCAGGGATGCAAACCCCCCACACAGTCGAAATCTGAGTATAACTTTTGACTCACCAAAAACTTAACTACCAAAGCCTACTGTTGACTGGAAGCCTAGCCACTATCATGAAACAGTTAACACCTATTTTGTGTGTTATATGTATTCCACACTGAATTCTTATAATAAAGTAAACCTAGAGAAATGAAAATATTATTAAGAAAATCATAAGGCAAAGAATATATTTTTTACTTTACTTTTTTTTTTGAGATGGAGTCTTGTTCTGTCACCCAGGCTGGAGTGCAGTGGTGCAATCTTGGCTCACTGCAACCTCCACCTCCCAGGTTCAAGCCAATTCCCCTGCCTCAGCCTCCTGTGAAGCTGGGATTACAGGTGTGCACCACCAAGCCCGGCTAATTTTTGTATTTTTAGTAGAGACGGAGTTTCACAGTGTTGACCAGGCTGGTCTCAAACTCCTGACCTCAAGTGATCCTCCTGCCTCAGCCTCCCAAAGTGCTGGGATTATAGGCCTAAGCCACCATGCCTGGCAGAAAATATATTTAATAATCATTAAGTGGAAGTGGACCATCATAAAGGTCTTCATCGTCATCATCTTCATGAGGAAGAAGAGGAGGGGTTGGTCTTGCTGTCTCAGGGGTGGCAGAGGCAGAAGAAGTGGAGAAGGTGGAAAGGGAGGCAGGAGAGACAGGCACCACTGTGTCACTTTACAGAAATACATCACAATGTCTGACTTTTTCTGTTTTTTTTCTCTAAAAATATTTCCATACAATACCAACCCTTCTTCCACTGTTCGATTTAATTACAGTACACATATCACAGAAGGGTCCATATTATAAAAGAAGTCAAAAATAGTCTTGAATAATCAGAACCCTTCTGTCAGATGGTGTAATTTTGGTTTTCTGGCACTGCTTCGTCTCTGTCTTCTTCCTCATGATCAGGCACTGGTTCGGAAATACTCATCTCCATCAAGTTATTTTCTATTAATTCCTAAGCTGTGGTATCTATGAGCTCCTGAATTTCTCTGAGACTGATATCTTGAAGTCCTTCATCCCCCACTTTTTTGGCCATATCCACAATCTCTTTAATGATTTCCTTAACTGGCTTTGTTGTCAATTTTGTGAAGTCATTCACAATATCTGGACCCAGTTGTCTCCAGCAAGAATTTGTTATTTGGGATTTACTGGCTTTCACGATATTTCTATCACAAGGAAGGCACCTTCATTGGTAATTCTTCCAGACTTTCATAATAATGTTCTATCAGTGGTCCCTTCCATAGTAACGACCATCCTTTCCAAAGGGTACTGTGTGTAATGAGCCTTACAGGTCTAAATTAGAGCCATTGTGTTTGAGGCAACTAGACTACTTCAACGCCTTGAACTCCTGGGGCTCTGGGTAGCCAGGGGCGTTGGTCAATATCAAAAGAACTTTAAAAGGCGACAGTCCCTTACTGGCAAGGTACTTCCTGTCTTCAGGGACAAAGTATCAATAGAACAATCTGGAAAAGTGTTCCCAGTGTCCAGGCCTTTATGTTGTGCAATCAAAAGATTGGCAGCTGGTGTTTATCTTTTCCTTTCAAGGCTCAGGGGTTAGCAGCTTTGTAGATGAGGGCAGTCCTGACTGCCTCTGCTCAATACAATTGAGTTAGCCTATCTCTTCTGGACTTAAATCCTAGTGCTTGATCCTTTTCCTTACTAATAAATATCTTTTGCTGGCATTTTTTCCAGCACTTTCGTCTGCATTAAAACCGTGTTTAGGCAGACACTCTTTCTCCTCAATGATTGTGCATCTGGAAACTCGTCTGCTGCCTCTTGGTTGGCAGAAGTTATTAATACTTCTGTTAGCTGAACATTTTTTTAAGCCAAGCCTCTTTAAAAAATTATCAAACCATCCTTTGCTGGCATTAAATTCTCCAGCTTTAAATCCTTCAGCTTCTTGTTGCTTTAACTTGCCATGTAATGACATTACTTTTTCTCAAATCATATTAGTCAATAGGTGCTTTTCCTTTAACCATCCTGCATCCACATAAAAGCCGCATTTTCAATATGAGATGAAAAGGTATTTCACAAAAGTACAAGGTTTTTGTGCCTGCTGGCATACCTGCAGCAACGGCTTCAGGAATTTCCTTTCTTGTTTTTTATAATGGTCCCTACACTGGATTCATTTATCTTGACATGGTGGGCAACTGCAGTAGCTGCAGACTTCAATCTATGGTACATATCAACTCTTTGTTCTAATGTCATGACTTTTCTCTCCTTTTTTGGGAGCATTTCCAGCATCACTAGTGGCACTTCACATGGGTCCCTTGGCGTTATTCAAGGTTTACAGTTTCATATTAAACATGATGAAAAATGCATGAGAACCAAGAGCAATTACTTTTTATTGTGATATGCAATTTCCTGGGAAGACAAATTGCTCACAAGGAGATGATGAGCATCACACTGCACTTTAAGCAGACACGCACAACACTCGAGCTCACTGCAAGTAACAACAGGAGGGGGCTATGATATTACTATAGTAGTGCAGTCTGTGCTACAGTTAATTTTATGCAGTTGCGATTTAATATTGCATCTTTATGGTTACTTACATTTCTCTCAACTGTGAATGGCACCACGTATGCTCTGTGTATATGGACGTTTTGATAAATTTTAACTTCTTGTAACAGATTTTTGTATATTTTATGGTTGTAAATGACAGGGTATCTATATATATATTTTACACATTCATGACATATATTTTTAAATTTTTTTCCTTATCTCGCTACATAGTTCATCTAAAATTTTTAACATGCCAAATCTCCAAAAATTTTTCCAATATACTTACTGAAAAAGATCCATGCATATGTACACCCAAGCAGTTCAAACACAAGTTGTTCAAGGGTCAACTATACTTTTTAACTATTATTTCTGAGTAGACAACTTTGCACCAGCTTATAAGGCTGGGCTCATCACGTGTTTTCTTTATATTTATTCTTTTGTTCACACCATGTGCCCGCTATGTGCCACATGGTGTGAACTGTGTGAAGTGCTGCTTATAGAACACTTTGTTAATCTAATAAAGCTACAAATGAACTTTCTCCATAAAAACATGCACAGAGTTGTTTCGTTCTGGATATACTTTCGGCAGATTCATAGATCCTTGTTCTATGAGAAATTAGAAGAAAAAGTACATTTTCTAACATTCACTTAAATATCAATGAGCATTTCCTCAATTCTATGACATCACTCTGACACTACAAAGTTACATATTAGCAGAGTGTGAATTTCTTCTGAATATCTTCTAACTCTATTTTTACACTGAAAGATCTCTTCCAGTTGTTCTACTCCATTTTTCTACTTTATGATACAGTCATGTCACTTAACAACAGGGATACATTCTGGTTAGGTGATTTCATTGTTGTGTGAACATCATAGAGTATATTACATAAACCTGGAGGTATACCCTATTACACACCTAAGCTATTATGTTACAGCCTATTTGCTCCTAGGATACAAACCTGTACAAGATGTCACTGTACTGAATGCCCTATGCAACTGAAACACAATGGTAAGTATTTGTATATCTAAACGTATCTAACCAAAGAAAAAGTACAATAAGAATATGGGATTATAATCTTATGGGACCATCATCCTATATGCAATGCAATATTGACCAAAATATTGTTATTCAGTAAATGACCATATAAATGTACGAAGGCAGAACCTAAAAGTAAACAATGTTTTAAGTACACCTGGACATAAAGATGGGAACAATAGACACTGAACACTACTAGAAGAGGGAGGAAGGGAAAAGGACATGCGCTGAAGAACTACCTACTGGGTACTATGCTCACTACCTGGATTGCGGGATCATCCATACCCCAAACCTCAACATAACGCAATATATCCATGCAACAAACCTGCACATATATCTCCTGAATCCAAAATAAAAGTTGAAAATATTTTTTTAAAAAAGCAATATTCAATCACTCTATATCAACTATAAGAGAATTATAACATGAGAATACCAAAAATATGATTGCAGGCAGGGTGCGGTGGCTCACACCTATAATCCCAGAACTTTGGGGGACCAAGGCAGGCAGATCACTTGAGCTCAGGAGTTTGTGACCAGCCCGGACAACATGGTGAAACCCCATCTCTACTAAAAAATACAAAAATCAGCCAGGCATGGTGACACATGCCTGTAATCCCAGCTACTCAGGAGGCTGAGAGAAGAATCGCTTGAACCTGGGAGGCGGAGGTTACAGTGAGCCAAGATCGCACCACTGCACTCCAGCCTGGGTGACAGAGCAAGACTCCATCTAAAAAAACAACAAAAAAAAACAGACTATTGACCCAAAAGTACACTGTTACTCCTTGGATTAACACCATTTGCCCTAAACATCTACATCCACTAGAAATGGCAAAACAGTCCTTTGCAATTCTATCTGTTGGCAAAAATATTTCAGCTCTAGAAAGCATTCAGTACGTCGGCAAGAGATAATAAACACCCCCATTTCCATGAAAGGCTGCACTTCAATTTCCACATAGCCAACGGGTTAACTTTTGGAGGCAGGTCTACTTGTAAGGCAACAAGTATCAGTGTGAGGAGGTCTTAAGACCCAGAAGGAAAAAATTAGCCGGGCATGGTGGCGGGCGCCTGTAGTCCCAGCTACTCGGGAGGCTGAGGCAGGAGAATGGCATGAACCTGGGAGGCAGAGCTTGCAGTGAGCAGAGATTGTGCCACTGCACTCCAGCCTGGGTGACAGAGCGAGACTCCATCTCAAAAAAAAAAAAAGACCCAGAAGGAATGTGAATGCTGTGGAAATGCAGACAGGAGGAGTCTGTCTGGGTCAAGTCAATGGAAAGAGGTGAGTTCCACTCCAAAGGACGGGCGTGCCTCTCAGGCTGAAGAGCGGCAGGAGAAATTTGAGGGGGCAGCCCTGGAGGTCAGAAGACAAAGATTCAAATCCACACATTTTCACTGACTAGTGGGTGACATTGAATGGGTCACATGAGCTCTCAGTGCCTCAGTTTCTGTTCGTCTAATAAATGAAGAGGGCTACAATGCCAACCACAGGAAGTTGCCATAAACTTCTGAGGTCATTATGAGCAAATGTGCCTGTATATGCAGACAGTGAACAAAATCACAGGCACAAAGCAAGTGAGCCCAAGGTCCAGCGGCTGCAGAACAGTAGGGACGGTGGTTGATGTTGTTGTTGCTATCATTAGTATCATCCTAATTTAGGGCCAGGCATGGTGGCTCACACCTGTAATCCTAGCACTTTGGGAGGCCGAGGTTGGGGGATCACTTGAGGTCAGGAATTCAAGACTAGCCTGGCCAACATGGCAAAACCATGTCTCTACTAAAAAATACAAAAATTAGCCAAGCATGATGGTGCATGCCTGTAATCTCAGCTTCTCAGGAGGCTGAGGCAGGGGAATTGCTTGAACCTGGGAGGCAGAGGTTACAGTGGGCCAAGATCATGCCACTGCACTCTAGCCTGGGTGACAGAGCAAGACCTTGTCTCAAAAAATGAATCATCCTATTTTGTCTATTTTGCAGACAAATTGTAGTCCTGAGCAGGATACCCAGGGTTTAAGAATAATATTAAGTGCAACAAAAAAATTATGTAACAATCTACATAAAACTCTGTATAAGTAGCTGCTTTGAATATTCCTACGTTTTAATCCCCATATGTCTTGAGGAAGTATATTGGCATGGGTAGAAGCAGGAAGAGATTAGGAGAATGGAAAGAAGAAATTCTTCTAACACATTAGCAAAAAGTGTTAAGTATTGGGGAAAAGATCAAAGGGCTTATCGCCATCAGAGAACGCTGTCTTGGTGTGCCTGAAAATCCCCCATCTAAGACACAAAGGGAAACAGGGAAGTCAAAACGGATACCAGACAGTTCATGCAATGAGACGAGAGTATTTCAGCATCTTCCATGACGAAGAACAGTAACACAAATTAAAACAGAGCAATATTAAAGTAAGATATGTTTTGGGGTTTTGTTTCTTTTTTTGAGATAGTCTCACTCTGTCGCCCAGGCTGGAGTGCAGTGGCGCAATCTTAGCTCACTGCAACCTCCATCTCCCAGGCTCAAGTGATTCTCCTGCCTCAGCTGGGATTACAGGCGTGCACCATTACCACCTGGCTAATTTTTGTATTTTTAGTAGAGACAGGGTTTCACCATGTTGGCCAGGCTGGTCTTCAACTCCTGACATCAGGTGGTCCACCAGCCTCAGCCTTCCAAAGTGCTGGGATTACAGGCGTGAGCCACCCTGCCTGGCCAAGACAGTTTTAAATTAATGTTTAACCCACAATTATCTTTAAAAAAAAAAAAATAGTTAGGCTTTAAAAAGCCAAATCTGATTATAATTAACTCCATGTCAATGCTCAAAATTTTGTTGGTACAAAAATGCTTTTCCTTCAAAGACAGTAAACTTACTGGACAAACACCCGAGCTGGTTTTTAGTAATAAATCTAGTCAGTACTGTTATTAATAGTGTTGTTAAAAAAAACTGAGAACGAGAGTGTATTCTGTCAATCAAGAGCTGATAAAACATTCCAAAAATAATCCCAAGTTCTTCACCACTGATTCATCACCAATTCAAAACTCTCGTTGAAAGACTTTGGTGTCTCTCCCACCATTCACCTTGACCTCTACTCAACACCTACGCTTCCACACATTGGAGCCACTTGTAGGACTTCAGTATAACAAAAAAAAAATTTTTAATATTCTAATAGTTTTACTCACTCCCTCAAATATGCATATAAAAAGTACTTAAATCATTTAATGTTGTTATATCTTCAAATCTACAGTGACTACAGTGACTTCACTGAACAGAAGAAAATTTGGAGAAAAACTAAGTCTCCATTAATAATCACCCCAAACATCTATGAAAGAAGTAACAGTGCTAGCAGTACTGCTTTACAATACCAACATGTTTCAAAGACTGTAAACAACATGTCAAGTATCCAAGTGGGAAAAGGCCTAAGCTCTTATCTTTAATCTCTCAGTTTTCTAAAAACACTATTTAAAACCTATATAAAGATATTACAAGGAAACACTATTTAAAACCTATATAAAGATATTACAAGTACTGAATCATTATTTCCCAAAAACCATCACGTTTTCTTGTAGAAGGTCCTGAAAACATCTCACAATCTTTAGTGTGGACAGTGTCCACACCAGAATACAATCACCAGTGTGAAGTCTTGAATTATGGTTCTCACCATTCTTGGTTGAACCTTTACAGTGGTACCTCCTGTCCCTTTGGGTTGGCACAGTGGCCTTGACTCATCACCCTGCTCTTCTAAGCAGAAGTCAACACAGTCAACACCTTGGATGGGACATAATTAATTTAAAACATTAAATTTTTGATATTCATGACCAAAAGACTGAAAGAAAAAGTGATGAGGCCCCTAGGTGGGTAACTGAGCGAAAGAAAAATTAGGGCTTCAGTGATAAACTTAATTGGGGTCAAAGTTAGAAATATAACAGGAAGCAACTTCTAAGTTTTGTTTTTCTGTTAAGACACAAGGTCTTGCTCTGTCATCCTGGCTGTAGTGCAATGGGTGTAACTAAGCTCACTGCAACCTCAAACTCCTGGACTCAAACGATCCTCTCACCTCAGCCTCCAGAGTAGCTTTGACTACAGGTGCGTGTCACCACACCTGGCTTATGTTTTAATTTTCTGTAGAGACAGGGTCTCAATGTATTGCCTAGGCTGATCTCAAAATTCCTGACTTCAGGTGATCCTCCCACCTTGGCCTCCCAAAGCACTGGGATGAGCCACCACGTCTGGCCCGTATTCTAACTTTTTGATTCCTTCTCTTGAAGACCTAGTCAATTCTGAATTGAGTTATATTCTGGGTAAAGAAAATTAAAAACAAAATGAAAAAACAATTTCTGGTGAAGAATGAGAGAGCCAATGACACAGAAGGAAATAAGAGCAGTACTACAAAAGGAGCAACCAGGATGCATCTGCCAAAGCCAAGGAGACAATGGGTGTTCACAGATTCGAAGTCCAACCAACCCAGACCTTGACTACACTGGGGTCCACACTTCCCACTAACAACTTTATCTCTGCAACCACAGAAATTACTGGAAATGTCTTAATGCCCCAAGAACTGGAAGCCACTCTGACAATAAAATCACTTTCATACACCAGTCCCCACAGACCATGGTAATAAGGAGACATGACAGCAAATACAAAGAAAAGCCATTGCTTAGACATCTAAAATCAGTTATGTCTTTCAATACCAGTCCAAGAAAGAGAAACAGAAACTCAAACACTGACCACATTAGTGTTTATGGTGAAACACAACTCTGATTAGACAATTAACATCCAGGCTGCCTAAAACTAAAAGCAAGCTTCATAAACAAACCACTAATAAGCTGTTGCTTCTTCTTTGGAAAGAGAAGGTTATTTATAAATTGCTGCCACCTAAAAACTGACCTGATTCAGTACTGTCAGACAGCGAAGTACACTTAGGCAAGTGGCAAATGACAAGGGAAAAAAATCACCTCACAAAGTGTGACACTTCATCCTAAGTGTAATAAATGAACAAAACAGAATATTGCACAAGACTGTGAATTGTTTAGCCGAGATCCGCCACTGCACTCCAGCCTGGGTGACAAGAGCGAGACTCCGTCTCAAAAATAAATAAATAAATAAAATGTAATCTTTATAGTTTCCCACTCATAAAAAGTAATACTGAAGAAAAACCTCTGAATTCGGTAAGTTAGGGTTCCTAGCATCAAATATTCCATGTGAGATCTTAAAAACAACAGGAACATCAAGAAATCAGAGCACCTAGCACGTATGACCACTCTGGGAGACACTGGCTCAACTGCCTCTGTCCCTAATGCAAATTTACCAGCTGAAATCCTTCAGAGATACATTCGCTGATAAACAGGCTACAATAGGTGTAGAAAGATGTGGGTAATGACTGACTAGATTGCAACCTGTCTGAATCATAGAAATTGAAAGAAAATAAGCTTTGCCAAGACACAGAAGCCAAGATTTCAAGCACTTTGGGACATGCAGTTCCACTGCTGGGATGTTTATTCAGAGGTGGCTGTAAGTTTCACTTCACTCTTTCAAGTATGTGCTCGGGGGCTGCACACCAACCGAGGGAGTGAAAAGAAAAATCAGATCAATCTTGCATGAAGCACTTGGTGAGGAGTGGAGGCCAGACGAGCTGGGCAGAAAGAATGAAGTACAGGAAGAGTCACCGGGACAGGAGCCTTCTAGGAAGAAGAGGCTGCAGAAACGCAGGGGTGAGGCGCCGCTCCGGCAGGGCACCAATGATCCAAGTAGGAGATCATGCTGAGTTTCTTCTCCTTCTCATTGTGAGAAAGCAAACACACAGTTTCTTCTAGACCTGGAACACCAACCGTGACTTGCAAACACAATGACACAGATTCATGATGCCTTGTCCACAATTCCAAAATCAAATGACTCTCAAAATGAAAAATTTTTCATAAGTTTGTTAGAAGTACATTTGGTGGCAAAAGCAACTCTGAACCAATCCAAGATTATTTGTAGTATTTATTTACTTGGTGAATATTCACATTTTGCTACAGAAATACCAAAATTTTGACTACAGGGTCCTGCCTCAGACATCACAGGAGGTGTTACATCTTATGACACATATTCCATATTACCTGCCTAAAATCTGAACAACTCAGTATTCTAACATCCAGCCATAATGATTTTAGGTAAAGTATTGTGGTGCTCCCAGATGCTGGAGCCAGTGAAGACTAGCTCATGAGGACTCTTAAGTTTTCAGGAATTTTGCAAGCCAGTTATTACCACCTTCATCATTTAAAAATTAAGATATATAAACTTACAGTTAAATAAATTAAAAAGCAGAGTAATAAATAAGTAAAACTCAGCCAGGCGCAGTGGCTCACGCCTGTATTTCCAGCACTTTGGGAAGCCAAGGCGGGCAGATCACCTAAGGTCAGGAGTTTGAGACCAACATGGCAAAACCCCCTCTCTACTAAAAATACAAAAATTAGCCAGGTGTGGTGGCGGGCACCTGTAATCCCAGCTACTCTGAAGGCTTAGGCAGGGAGAATCGCTTGAACCTGGGAGGCAGAGGTTGCAGTGAGCCGAGATCACGACACTGCACTCCAGTTTCGGTGACACAGCGAGACTCCGTCTCAAAAAGAAAGTAAAACTTCCTATCATCTGTGTTGCATTTTACTACTCTGTGTGGCCTTGGATTGTCCTAGGTCTGCTGTATCTACACAGTGGAAACACTATGTAAAAGTGTATGATGGTGTGTTTTCCAACTCCACACTCAGGGACATCCCATTGGCTTCCTGAAATAGGCCAGGGCGGGAGTGTGTACACCAAAGAAATTGGCAAACACTACAAATCAGTCCCCACTCCTTCAGCCTCAGCTGAGAGTGGTTGTGAAACATTTTACTAACACACTGTCACTTTAAGCTCTCTTGAAACCATACGCGACTACCTTCCAGATCTTCCTATTTCAAAAAGGAGTTCTAGAAAACCACACCAAGTGTGCAGGGCGGAATGGGGAGTCAGAGTCCCTGGAACAGAAGCCTCAGGAGCCACCGTGTCCTTTCCCAGGGTCGTGGCCCTCAGCTGCAGGCAGCTCTAAGGCTTCTTCATGCTGCCTGCCTCCTGCTTCCCAGGACATTCAATTACAGGTTATGCTGTCAAACAACAGCACGCATTAGAGCAGGATTGCTCTGCTGCATCCCCAGGACCTAGAACAGTGTCTTGCACATAGTAGGTACAGAGTAAATATCTATTCAGGGAATGAACAAATCCTCCAAAGCTCCCTGTGGTTCACAACACACTATATTAAAAAAAAAAAAAATGCCAAACATAGTATCTGCTATACCTCGTGTTCTAGCATGAGAATTCATGGAAGGAAGGAAGGTGGATGGCGGGGAGACTACTCCAGTATAAATACAAAGATATAAGTATACAATGTTTCCTTTACTTGGCCAGGCATTGTGGCTCACACCTGTAATCCCAGGACTTAGGGAGGCTGAGCTGCCCGCTCAGCAGATGGCTTGGGCCCGGGAGACAGGAGACCAGTCTGGACAATACAGCAAGATACTGTCTCTACAAAAACAAACAAACAAACAAAAATAGAAATATTAGCCAGGCGTGGTGGCCATTTGCCTGTAGTCTCAACTAGTCGAAAGACTGAGGTGGGAAGATCACCTGAGCCTGGGAAGCTCGAGGCTACAGTGAGCCATGACCATGCCACTGTGTTCCAGACTGGGCAACAGAGTGAGATCCTGTCTCGGAGGGGACCGGGGGTGTAATCTTTTTACTTTCTGATTTAAATAAGTTATTTTTATTGAGTCTGGAATCTATTACTTGCAATATTGTTTCCATGAGAAAATAAAGTTCCAAGTAACAGATTTTACAATGAAGTTTTAGAACAATGACCCATTTCTGAATTGGAGACATCAAGCTTAAGTATATAGTCACCATAGCAACTTTTTCAAGATCCAGCATCCTTAATTTAAGATATAAGTAAAATTTTAAAGCAAAAACAAAAAGCCATTCAAAAAATTAAATAATAAAAATATTCCATAAAGCCATACCATGAAATGCAATATAGAAAATTGTGACTGATTTTTAGAAGACAAAGCCACGTTTCTTTTCCTATCTTTTTAATGAGGCACATGGAGGATGGTTTATTTATTCCCTAGGGAGAAACCTTCATCCTGTACATAAATGCAGTATAACTGATATTTCACACATGGTATTTGTATAAGAAACACAAATGCAAAGAGAAGGGAAGAACTTCCAGTGTGCTTAAGAACTGAGAACTATAAATGTTTCCTTTAGAGAAATGAAAATTTAAATCTCTCGAATCTGCAGTATGAGACACATAAAGCCATCTGCCCCAAGATACAATCTATATTCCTGAAGGGACAACAAAACTCTCTCATTCTATATGAATCTTCTGTATATGAATTCTGAATTCATAGGCAGCCTTCCATCTCAACCTTGTACAAAACCCTGAAGCCCAAGAAGGCACAACCTTTTCATGCTAACAGCACAACCTTTGTCTCCTGCTCATGTTTAGACCACACCTCAGAGAATCTGCCTTGTGTGTGATGTGTCAGATTATAGGGAGGAGGCCCCTGGGAAGTGCTGGTGCCTAAACTGCAGCTAATTTTTAAGTGTCCACAAATGCAGTGTCCACATCCAAGGAAAACAACATTTATTTAACAACTTTCATTAAAATTAAGCCAATATTATATGTATTCATCAGTACACATCCCATCCACAGAGAACCCAGAATAAGCAGTATTCTTTAATCTTGGTATGCCTCGCTGTAAGCAAACCCACATAGAGTCAAAACAGCTCATCTTTAACCCACATACGTTTTTTGGGTGGGAAGGTGGGACAGGGTCTCACTCTGTGGCCCAGGCTGGAGTGCAGTGGCATGATCATGGCTCCCTGCAGCCTTGAAGTCCTGGGCTCAAGCAGTCCTCCAGCCTCAGCCTCCCGAGTAGCTGAGACACAGGCAAGCAACACCGCCCCTGGCCTATGCACATTTTAAAGTGAAGACTAACTGTCACAGGAACCACCCTATTCAGAAAAATATCCTCACAAACATTTTTAAAGAAAATGATATGGAATGAATAGAATGGAACAAAATAAAATAGGAAATATCAATGTACACTTACAAAGCAGTAAGGTTGTTTGGGGTGTGTGTGTGTGTGTGTGTGTGTGTGTGTGTGTGTGCACACACACACACGCTTGCATTTACCCACTGGGCTGCCAAGTGAAATGTATTTTTTACTCTAGCGTAGTGATTCTCAATGAGGGGCAATTTTGCCCCCAGGGGACACTGGCAGTGTGTGAGACATATTTGGTTGTCATAACTGGGGTCAATATTATTGACCTCTAAACAGTATAGGTCAGGGAAACTGCAAAACATCCTCAATACACAGGACAGTCCCACACAACAAAGAATAATCCAGTCCAAAATGTCATTTATGCAGATGCTGAGAAACCCCATTATAGGAGACAACCAAAAAGTTAAAGGCCACTAACTGACCCTATACTTCATCCCATCTGGTGATCACTCCTGTAGAACATATATGGATTTATATGTGCATTGCCTTAAGCAAAATCTGATAATATTTACAAAGTAAGTGTAACAGTAGCCTCTTAATGGGCATTGTTAAAACATGGTTACAAATAATTTTCTTCTGATTATAAAATATCATAGGTGCTCATTGCAGAGAACTGTAAAACTAAAAAAAAGCATAAAGCATTGTGTCATACAATTTTAAAAAGATGGAACAAGGCATCATCATTTATACATCACTTACCAGAAAATGATACATTCCTGTGATCTACATATTGTGAATAAATTCACTATTTTCCAGAATTTTTGTTTAAACGTCACTATTTTCACACAAGAACTTTAATGATAAGACAATTCTCACTCAGGCCATGAGAACATGCTCAAGAGTTAGATGTTAGGATTGACTTAAAAAATTCTAAGATGATATGAAAGTGTCCAAATAACTCAACATTTATTTGCATCCATGAACTTGGTTTGGATCCATAAGGAATATTCTGACTTTTTTTAAAGGCTTTTTTTTTTCCAATTTAGGGGAAAAAAAAGCAATTAGCCAGACATCAGGGTCCCAGCTACTCAGGAGGCTGAGGTGGGAGGAACCCTGGAGCCTAGAAGGTTGAGGCTACCATGAGCCATAATCGTCCCACTGCACTCTAGCCTGGGCGTCAGAGCAAAACCCTGTCTCCAAAAAATAAAAATTAAAAAACAAAGGATTTTCTCATGTTTCTATTTAACATAAATAAAAGAATAACATTTTGCAAAATCCTAAAATATAAGCTAATAAATGAGAAGAGGACTGAAAACTGAAAAGAAGAAGAAAAAAAGACCAAACCATGAAAAGACAGAAATCTACTTGCTGTTCACCATGCATACTTCAATAAACCAAAACGCAACTTAAAGTTCTTGTTGAACTTTTCTTGTGCAACCTGTTCCCAGGCAAGGCCAATATAATGGAAAACCAGAGAGTGTGAAGAATGGAACATAAGCTCCTCTTTGCTTTTCAAACTATGGAAGATGTGCAACTATACAACAGAAGAACAAACTACAAAGTCTTAAGTTAGAGGTTTTGTCAAAAATATTTTTTTAAATCACAGTCTAAATGTTAGCCATTATATTTAAAAGAACCCTAATTACATTCCAAAGAAAAGTGGGTATGTGCACTGTCACTAATGAGATCTCAGGGCATGTGAATAATTTCAGAAGCAGCAGCCAGTATCCTAGGATGCCTTTTGTCATCATTTGCATTAAGCTGAAATTTTATCAGAAGGCCAATTAATAGTCAATGTAATAGCTTTGTGGAAAGAGCACTAAATTAAGTATGTCAACACCATATATTCGGTACCTGCTCCTGTCTGGCACTCATCAAGAAAATTACATTAGTGAAGCTTAATTCTCACAGATGATGGCAGATCACTGGCAACTCACAACAAGACTTGGTTGACAATTCTAGTTATCTTCAACATGTGGTAAAAATCATGACGTTAAAAGGAGCTCAGTTTCTGCAGATCTTTCACAGGGAGCTATAAAATAAATTTAAAAGGATCCTAGCCTAACTTTTCTTTTTGAATTCTGCATCTATTAACACTTAAAATTTTTGGAAAAAAATGTTTAAGTGAATAAAATTCACTAGAAACATAAGTAGTGTCCACATTCAAGGAAAATGTTTATTTAACAACTTTCATTAAAATTAAGCCAATATTATAGGTATATACTTAGATGCTATCAAAATCCTCAAAAATCTAAATCATTCTATTTCTGAAATAACTAGGTCATTCTAGCTCTAAATTTCCTTAATAATAAAAAACAATTCAAATTTAACTGCTTGGGGCATATGGCACTATATAATATCAAGTTTGCCCATCTTAAATGCTATTTACTCAGGGGGTTTAAAAAGAAAGGGTTACATAATGTATTGGCTCAAAATAACACCTGCCTTTATAATACATTAACCCAGAGTTTCTCAAAGTGTGGTCCCTCCCAGTAGCACCAGCATCACCTGGGAACTGTTAGAAATGTAAATATTCAGGCCCCATCAGTCCTGCTGAATCAGAAACTCTGGGGCTGGAGTCCAGAAATCTGTAATACCAACTCAAGTTTGGGAAACTCTGTCCTAACCTTATAGAGATGACAATTTGAGAATAAAGGACAAGAACAAAGAAAAACTACAGTATCTATGAAGACTTGCTGTACCAAGTGACATCCATAAATTCATTTTGTTTAATTCTTACAGTAATGTTAGGATGTAGTAACTATTATTCTCATTTACACTGGAGCACCTCTTGCTTAGTGAAGTTAAGCCATGAAGCAGAGACACTAAAAGGTAATATAAAGCCCACCACTAACCACTACTACAAGCCACAGGCAAGAACACTTTCTGCTCTCATAGTACCTGTATTGAGTTCGTGCACTCAATAAATTGCCAAAGAATTTAGGAAAAAAGGGGTTCTGTCAAGACATAATTTCAGTCTTCTATCACATGAGCTTCAAAACCCAACATGCATAATGCTGTTCCCTCTTCAAAAAATAGGAAGGGTGTTAATGGCTATTTGATTCCTCTTTCATCAGATTTTTATTTAATTACCTGACTCAACAATAACCTACAAAACCCACCTTACCTGATCTTTGCAACCTGATCACCTGTTCCAGCATCATGCAAATTTCCACAACTGGTTCATCTCAAACCAAAACTTCAACATTCCAAATCTAAAGAGCAAGGTCAGATGGTTAAGAACTTAACAGATAACCTGGGAGTAGAGTTTTCAAAGTAACATCTCCCTCAAACTCCGGTGTTAGGGCCAAACACCAGCACTGCCCCAAAGCACTTGTCAACAGATATAAACATTTGGACATGGTATCAGTAAGAAATTTGTTGACATGGACATTGACAGAAAAAATATTATAACTGCCTTACAAAAAAATCATTTAAAACACCCTTAAACATACAGAAGAGGAGACTAATTAAACAAACGACTTTATATCCTTTTTTTGAGATGGAGTCTCGCTCTGTCGCCCAGGCTGGAGTGCAATGGCACAATCTCGGCTCACTGCAATCTCCACCTCCCTGGTTCAAGCAATTCCCCTGCCTCAGCCTCTAGAGTAACTGGGATTACAGGTACCTGCCACGACGCCCGGCTAATTTTTTTTGTATTTTTATTAGAGACGGGGTTTCACCATGTTGGCCAGACTGGTCTCGAACTTCTGACCTCAGGCAATCTGCCCACCTCGGCTTCCCCAAGTGCTGGGATTACAGATGTGAGCCACTGCACCTGGCCTTTATAACCATTTTAATTAAAACCTATGTAGTTATTAAAATATATATCCATAGGCATAGAAAGGCAAAACTAGGCACCAAAACATTAACATAGTATATAAAATACTTAACACTGTAGAATTATAAGGGATGTATTTTCTGCTTTGCACTTGTTTTTCAATTGCTTGCGCTATAAGCATGTCTTTAACGTAAAAGTATACTTATAATAAAATGAAATTAGAAATACAATAAATAAAATATATGTTGTATACTTTTAAAACCTAACAAATTACCAACATATAGTAACTATTAATATTTTTTAAATGATGAAAAGTTGTCTTACATTTTGAAGTTAACACTCTTTTTTTTGAAGTTAACAGTTAAAATGTGGCAAATTTTAGGCCGGGCACAGTGGCTCACACCTGTAATCCCAGCACTTTGGGAGGCCGAGGTGGGTGAATCACAATGTCAGGGGTTCGAGACCAGTCTGTCCAACATAGTGAAACCCCGCCTCTACTAAAAATACAAAAAATTAGCCGGGCATGGTGGCTGGCACCTGTAAGCCTAGCTACTTGGGAGGCTGAGGTAGGAGAATCACTTGAACCCAGGAGGCAGAGGTTGCAGCGAGCCGAGACTGTACCACTGCACACCAGCCCGGGCAACAGTGCAAGACTCTGTCTCAAAAAAAAAAAAGTGGAATTTTGTTGTTGTTTTTTTTTGAGACCCGAGTCTCACTGTCACCCGGGCTGGCCTGGCAAATTTTAATTTAAATAACTACTGCAAAATACTGAATGTACTAGATGAATACACTTTTATACAAAGAAAAAAAAAGCACTTTGCAGATCATAGCAATTACCAATATCCACCTCATCAATAAGTTCCAGGGTTTCACTGGGTACAAATGTATAGTTTTAATTTTCATTGGAATTAACCGAACTGGCTTTCCTATTATTTCATAAATTTTTTTAGCTATTTAATGTATTCTTTAGGCTAAACACAATGAATGAGCACATTAGAATTTAGGACCATTCTAGAAGGACCCCTGACAGCCAGATAAAACACAGTTATTACTGTCAGAACACAAATGAAATAATCTGAAAAGACAAGGAATTGTTTAGCCCATCAAACACACAAAAGCAATACTTCTTAAATGTTTAGCTCACTCTAACAAGTTATTTTTTATAAACTTTAGTTTCTCAATGTTTGATAATAAGAACACAGAAATTTGCCTAGACCACAACGGCTGATGAAACTTAAACATTCATGCAAATTTATGGATTGTCTGACATTATTGAACAGTTCATCAAAAAGCTAGAGGGATACTCCCTTTGTCAGCCTGTGCCCATTAGCAGGTCAATTCAATGAACATTAGCAATTAACAGCAATTTACAAGAGGAAATACTTAAAAACTGGATTACTTACTGTGCTTAGTTTCTTACAGACATACAAGCATTTAAAAATAGAACACTGGGGTTTCAAAATCACATGCATAGCATTTTTTACAATACATTTTAAACATGAACAATATAAACAATCTGCCAGAATTATGCCACATCATTTTTCCCTTTGGGAAGGCTATAAATGTTACATATACCATATGTATTAAATAATTATGACTAGAGATAATCTTAGCACACATAAAATATGGGCATCATTGCCAAGAACTCGTCGAGATTTATTACGTTGAGTTATACAGCTCCTATGCTCTGTAAGGAAATGACATGTTTAACTTTAACATTACATAGAAAGGATCACTGAAGGCAGGGTAGTGGATAGTAAGTACTTGGGTGAGTTCCCGATAGGACAGGTTATCACTGAGTGCGCTTTCCTTTTCTTCCCATGCCATGACCTGACATCTATTGACCAAGTGGTGACTCCAATTAAAATGCTATTGCTTAATGATGACAAAAAATGCACTGCACAGATGGAAAAAAGAAAAAAACATATTTCAGGCAATGATGATGCTTAAAAAATTTAAGCATTAAATTAACCAGCAAATTCTGGCCCTACGTGTTGATAACTACTGAAAAAATAGCCTACATTATGAAGTGTTAACATAAAAAATTCCCCATGATGTCATAAATATTGTTGCACATCAATGGGCTCTAAAAGCTAACCAGATGGTGACAAGCAAATTATACAAAGGTATGGACACCTTCGGGCCACTCATCTTCTACTGATCAAGCACACAGTCTTTCCATTTGATTTTTTTAGGTTATAGCAGTTAGGCTATACTTCAAACATTGTAAGCAATAACATTAATTAATCCAGGAAACTCCATTTTCTGTAGGTCACAGGCAGGCTCTTTCTCTCTTCATTTGTCCGTCTCATTTCCTACAGAAGTTTCTCCACTGTTTAAAATAGTATGGGCAGGCGGGCGTGGTGGCTCATGCCTGTAATCCCAACACATTGGGAGGCTGAGGCAGGTGAATCACTTGAGGCCAGGAGTTAGAGACTAGCCTGGGCAATGTGGCAAAACCCTAACTCTACTAAAAACACACACACACACAAAAAAAAGCCAGGCATGGTGGTACATGACTGTAGTCCCAGCTACTCAGGAGGTCGAGGCACAAGAATCACTTGAACCCAGGCAGCAGAGGTTGCAGTGAGCCAAGATTGCACCACTGCACTGCAGCCTGGGCAACAGAGCAAGACTCTGTCTCAAAATAAAATAAACTAATAAATAAAATAGCGTGGTCACGTATGAAGGATATTTTAAGATAACAGAAAAAAAAATAAAATAGCATGCAATTAACTACCAGCTGGCATTAAAATGTCACCCTAAACACAGCAGTCACTCAATGAATGTGGTTTATGAACAATCTTCCTTGACATTCCACTCTCTTCTGTGGGGAAACTTGCCATACTTTTCTCTGATTCCAAGGAAAAAGCCAGGAACTAAATAAAAGGGCCACCGAGAAGGCAGCCTTTTATTGGCTTTAGTTTTGCAAATACTTTGAACAAAAATGACATTCACTTCCTACAAGTCTTTCTTTGGTCTCTATCACGTCCCAAATTCAATTCCTGTTCAGCACTCTAAAAAAGCAGTCCACTTTCAACTACTTGGACAGGAATAATCCAGGTATATCCATTCTTAGACCTTACATCAGCCAGGTCCAAACAAATCAAACAGTGGCTGCCCCAGCATTTCCAGAGAGTGGGCTGCAGCAGGAGAACAAAACTGCAACCAACAGGTAACTCAGAGCTCGACAGTTGCATTTCTGTGTGTTTGTAGCCGATATTTTCGCAAACAGTAGAAATCTTGATCCAATATGTTTCTTCATACAATTGTGATAACATAGATAATTCAACTACTAGCAGTAGAACTTGTTCCCATGAGAAATCCTCTGAAAGAAGAGCTCTGTGGGGATTATGGGTATGTGTTTCAACAGAACTTGGGTGGTTGCCTTTAAAGAGTACCCACAGTACAGTCTTATTTAATTAATGTACAAAACCCTATTTTAAATAATTTTTTCCTTTGAAAGTCTTAAATTTTGATGGACCTCATAGTCCAACATTAAAAATATGTAAAAACATTCTCTTATCCATAGTCCCTGTTTTCACTTTACAGAGATGAGATTCTCTTCTCTTCTGAAGTCCTACAAAGTAGCCCACAATTCACCAACACAAGGTAAGAATGGGATCTGGTTTTTGTTTGTTTGTTTGTTTGTTTTGGCTGCTGATTCCATTGAGATTCTGCACTTTGTCAAAAGTTAGCCAGTCCCTGCAGCCCCACCCCATCCATGCAGTTGTATTTTTTCATGACATTGATTACCAGTTTAGTGACAAAACATTTATAACATACCCTAAAATACACTCAATTACACATTGGCTAGAGTTGTATTTGGAGGGGTTTTGCCACTATTTTTAAAATTTTCATGCTACTATCCTCAAACAGGAATAAATTTCATTGAAACTTCATTTCAAACTGTAAAGTCACCATGTCTGTCTTTAGATGAGGCATACTCTCCCACTGTCTCCTTCTGTGGCTGAGGTGGTCTGTGTGTCTCTGAGCACACAGAAGGTAAGAAGGTTCTGATGACAGCACAAGCATCTAAACCCTTCAAAATTTCCAATTCTCCTCCACGACCAGGCCCAGAGAGCTGGACAAGCAGAAACCATCCAGCATACAAATGTAAGCTCCAGTCAACAAGAATCATGCTGCTTTAATCACCAAGAGCCTTGCTGGACCTTCTCACATCCTGGCCGACTACGTTAAAAGAAAATCTCACAGGCTCCATGAGGTGAATCACGGTCCACTGGTTGATTCTTTCACAAACATCCGGAGCACATGAATGTGCGAGGTAGGGCTGGATGCACACATGCATGGTGAGGAGGACACCGTCCTTGCACGTCACCACAGACAGGCGGGTCACTGCCATGTGCCCTCCACCTTTTATCTTTGAGACAGGATCTCACTCTGTCACCCAGGCTGGAGTGCAGTGGTAGGATCACTGCCTCAAAGTCCTGGATTCCAGCGATCCACCCACCTCTGCCTCCCAGGTAGCTGGGACTACAGGTGTGTACCACCACACCCGGCTAATTTTTATATCTGTAGTAGAGACAGGGTCTTGCCATGTTGCCCAGGCTGGTCTCGAACTCCTAAGCCCAAGTATCCTCCTGGCTAGGCCTCCCAAAAAGTGCTTGGATTACAGGCATGAGCCATCTCGCCTGGCCTACCGGCCACCTTTAATGTATTGGAACCTTTACCACCTAGAAAAAAAACACCTTCCTTTTGAAAAAAACATTAGAATGCAAAATAAAAATTTTCAAGGAAATCATTGTTCACAGAAGCTTAAGAAAAACAAATGTTCCCCTCCTCAGGGCTCACTTATTTTAAGTCACTCCATATTTGGAGATAATTAGGATTTCCTTCCAACCCAGAAAAAAAGAAATCGTTGTGCTCTTTTAACTATTAGTTTAAAAATAAAACAGCAGAAGCATGATATTAAAAGACTTCACTTCAAAAACAGAATGTTTTTCATTATTTTAATAATCTACTCATTTTTCACCTATGCATTATTTTAAAAAAACACATCTGCACAATCCCAATCTAAAACATCACAGATACAGTGTTTCGTATTACATATGCCCTTCACTTTCAAGCACGAGCAAGAACTCCACTTACGCAGGTCATTTTAATGCCATAAGTAGTAGAGACATTCTCTCATATTCACCCAGCTCTCCTGAGTCCAGTTACAAAAATACACTAATTCTGTAAATGCAAAATGTATGCAAAAAAAGAGTAACCCAAAGCAACCGAAATGATCAATGAAACCTCATATGAATTATAGGACACATTGCTTGGCTATGCATAGTTGGATATGAAAGTTCAAAGTCACAAAATTTTGCACATCCGTATGTCAAAGGGGTAAGAAGAAAATGCTCATATCCCGAAGCAGTGCCCTGTTCAGCCCCTCCAGGAAGCAGGGTGGGATGCAGCAAGCCCAGCCACCAGCATCACCAGCTCTACCTGTGGACTCAGTCAATTTTAACCAACATGACTGCTCAACCAATCCATCACAACAACTTAAAGTCATATACAACATACAGAGTCACTTCTTTACCCACTGAGTCCATCCACTCACTCAAATGAACACAAATAACAGATTCTAACAGGCCACCTCAGGGTCAAAGAGCCTAGGAGTTCACTGACCCCACCTTTGATTCCAATTGCAACAGCCCTTGGGCTGGAGGTTTATGGAGAGGGCTGAGAAACTGCCCCAAGCAGAAAGCCTCCTGCACCCCGACTCCTGCCTGGGACCAAAACTAAGCGAGAAGAATCCAGGCAGGGGCAATAACGGGGTGTCGGCAGAGGCAGAAGGTTTCCCCAGCAATTAAGCATAGGTTCCAGCTCAGGCTGCGGTTAGGCCAGGACGTAAGGGCAGCGTGTGATGGGCACTGGGGGTGGCCATGGGGAAGGAGAGAGGAGCAAAGCCTGTGTTCCCCAAAGGTTCTCTTAAAGCAGAGCATTGGATGACACCACAGGTAGGAGGAACTGTGACCTCACAGGAGAAGCCACCAGGATTAGTCAATGCATTTTGCAGAGACAAAAAAAATCTCATAGACTGGAGTAGCAACACAGTGTTACTGTCACTGCCAAAGGTTGTCTGTCTTGACCCTACACAAAAAAGTACTACCCAAGACTTGAGGTAAAAGGAAGATTCCACATAATAGTGTATGTCCAAAATTGTGTTTTAGGCAGTAGCATCTCTAAAAAGACCTCTAATCCTATTTCCCACTCAGTGCTTCAAAAAATAAATCTAACTTCAAAAAAAATCATCATTTATTATAGAGACAGAGTCTCACTCTGTCACCCAAGCTGGAGTACAGTGGTAAATCACAGCACTGCAGCCTCAAACTTAGGGCTGTAGCAATCCTCCTGCCTCAGCCTCCCTAGTAGCTAGGACTACAGGCATGGGCCACCATACTTGGCTAAATTTTTTTATCTTTATGTAGAGATGCTATGTCATCCAGGCTGGAGTTAAACTATGGCCTCAAGTGATCCTCCCACATCAGCCTCCCAAAGACTGGGATTACAGCAGACAGCCACCACACCCAGCCTACAAATAATTTAAATCTAAATTTATGGCTGGGAGTAGTGGCTCACGCCTGTAATCCTAACACTTTGGGAGGCCAAGGCAGGTGGATCACCTGAGGTCAGGAGTTCCAGACCAGCCTGGTCAACATGGTGAAACACCATCTCTACTAAAAATAAGAAAAGAAAAATTAGCCAGGCATGGCGGTGCACGCCTGTAATCTCAGCTATTCAGGAGGCTGAAGCAGGAGAATTGGTTGAACCCAGGAAGCGGAGGTTACAGTGAGCTGAGGCCTCACCATTGCACTCCAGCCTGGGCAACAAGAACAAAACTCCATCTCAAAAAAAAAAAAAAATCTAAATTTACTCTTCCAGAATCTAATTTTTAACTACTGCCTATGACCATGACTAATTTTAAGTTTGAAGAGACCTTTAATAAACGGACTGAAAAAAACACTTAAAATATCAAAATTACTATCAAAATACATTGGTACAAAAGTAATTACGGTTTTTGCATTTAAAACTGTAATTACTTTTGCACCAACCTAATATAACAGTAACACCAACTGAAACTACGTCAATGCCAACTTGAAGTGACTTCGTCCTTAGATGAAGCAGCCACTTCAAATACTCAAATGCCCTATAAAATGATGCCACATAATGAACTAAACAACGTACTATGTGATTGTACTTAAGGACAGGCACATCCTGTGTGACATCCTGGCAGAGACTTAGCAGAACGGAGGTTAATCGCCATCGATCCACCAAGCCTGGGAAATAGTCTCCTCCATGGTCAGCAGCCAGGTTCAGAGTGGTGGAAATCACTGGAAATGACTACCTGAGTGCTGTGGTGGTTGCCAAACACAATTCCTAGGTCAGAACCATGGAAAGGGCTGGTTAAAGGAAGGCTTCCTCCCCAGTCTCTGAATCTGAGTGCACAGAGCAGAACCCAAGAAGCCACACAAAAATATGTCCTGGGTACTGTGATTGCCAGCAATGTTTTAGATTCAGAGAAGTTAAGGCCTTTGAAAGTCTTTTATTAATAACAAACAATAGAAATTGCATGACCAAGTGGAGGAATAACTGTAAAATTAGGGTATGGGATAAATAAATGGCAAATTCTCAGCAAAACCACACAGAGGGAAAAGGGGATAAACAGATGAGAAAACTGTCTTGCTCAGCACAGCACATGCAAGGTACTGGCATGTTGGGTTCTCATGGAACATGCTAAGGAGAGCAAATCACAACTAAAGACAACTCGGGATGAAAACAGAAGCACAAAACAAAAAGCAAGCGTGAGATACAAAAGCTTACATGAATCGAATGTTGGGGTTTTAGGAGAATGGTTTGGGTTTTTATTTTATTAACCCCCTTGGATCAAATTAGCTCAACACATAAATAAGCAATGTTTTTGTTCAAAAGAGGTCTAAGACACTTAACCCAACCTTACAACACTAAAAAGGATGCTTTGGAATTCTGCTGAGCAGATCCAGTGGCTGGCATCTTGAGGCTCTGATAAGGTAAATACTACAACCGCCTACTGCTGTTTTATGAATTTTACTGCTAGACTAGTGATGCATTTAATGCACAAATGCCAGCAATTCCAGGCCAGGATACAAAAATTTACTGTGGATGTGCTTTAAGTTAATGTTGATTCCAACAGTTTACATTCCATCAGCTATTCCAGTGCCAATTAGCACCTTAAAAATTGTGTGTAAATAATTGAAAAACATGTTAGCAATTAAAAGGAGGAAATAATTCCACATTAAAATCAGGAAGAGACTTTAGGTTAAATGCTAAAAGGCAACTGTATTCTCAAAACATCAGGTTTTCACAGCACAATGCAAAATGTTATATGCACTCTAAAACAAAAATGTAACATGTAGATCCTGTTTAAAATTCAGTAAATGCCAATTATTATTTACTGCTTTCAAAGCTAATAGGTTCTCTAATTGAATATAAGGTTTTAAACTTTGTGCATCATTAACTTATATTCCATGTTAGTAATGAAGTGTTGACAAATGCTTTCAATGTATTAAGAATGTGAAAGATTCTGAATGAGGGTAGCTTAAGATCTTTCTTTGTACCAACTTTTAATGAAGGCCTTTTTTAAACAACAGGAAAAGTTAAAATGTCTAGCACATGGTTTTAATACAAGCTTTATTCTTAAGTAATTTAAAAGGGAGGATATAGATTTCTCATAACTCAAAGACTTTAAACTCTATGGAAAATAAATCTAGCAGTTACAAATAAGTAATAGAAATACAAAGAAACTTAATACTAGTTACAATTAAGGCCAATGACAACTCAGCGGCCTTTCGTTAGGAATCGAAATCTCACAGTATTGGTGCTCATTTTTTAAAAAATTATCAAGCTTTAAAATTGGAAAAAAAATTATTAAGATGAGGAATGGATATATTTACATTAAAATCAAATCAACTTTTCACAATGAGACAAACAGCCAAAGGCATTCATTCATGAAGAAATACCTAGACATCGAATACTAAAATACTGAGATGACAGAGTCTAGCATTTCAGAATCTATTACTTAATCAAGGGTAAGCAGATATAGTCTTTTAGGTACAGAAATTCAAGGGGATGGAGGGATGAATGCACAGAACACAGAGGATTTTAGGACAGTGAAACTATATTGTCTGATACTGTAATGGGGTCATTATAAATTTGTCCAAACCCATTGAATGTACAACACCAAAAGTGAACCCTCACGTCAGTTATGGACTCTGGGTGATGATGATGTGTCCATGTAGGTTCATCAACTGTAACAAATGTTCCACTGTGGTGGGGGATGTTGTTAATGAGGAGGCTATGCAAGTTTGTGGGGGAAAGGGATATAAGGACATTTCTGTACCTTGCACTCAATTCTTCTGTAAACCTAACATTGCTCTAAAAAATAAAGTCCTTTTTTTTAAGGCCCTTTGAATGTTACCTTTAAACACATGAACTACGATCCCATTCCATCTCAACAGAATGATACAATCACTTTTTACTTGAAAATGATGGGAAGTTTTTCTTCTGTTTTGGAATTCACTTAGAATACAAAATCTTTTATACTGCCTGCATGGGAAAATGGTCTCCTAGGAAAATTTTATATCATAAATAATTGAGGAACAAAACAAAACAAAAGAAGTACAGGATCACAGAATAAGTAATACTTCAACTTTTGCTTTAAATATTAGGAAACATTAAACCAAGCTGGATCATGGGCTGTATGCTTATCTTTTACATCATTATTTAATTGACCTTATTTTTCTTACACCCTCAATATGTATTAGTCTTTTTTAATCCTATGTATCTTATAAGGTACCAGTTTATCCAAGCTCTGGTGGTACCCTCCATTCTCTGGGAAATACCATCACCCGCCCACACACCTACCTACCTAACCCCCATCCAAAGGAGTGAGCCCTGGGGAGGCAGAGGTGTCCTGGATGACTCCACCCTATCACCCACAGCCACAGCCACCTTCATTGTCATCACCCTGCACCACCTCCTTCTAGCCACCACTGATGACATCAGGGTTGGACCCTTTGATCTAAGTGGAACCAACTAGATTATCTCTCCACAGAACTTGGAGGTAGGACAGAGAGAGAGATCTCTACTTGTGGCTAGAACTATGATAAAGAAAACTTAGCAACACTAGTCAGACAAACTGTAACAAGGAAATAGAGCATTAAAGAAAGCAACTCATGGGAAAGAAGAATAAAGCAGAAGCCCTGAAGAAAGCAGAAATCAGAGACTGAATGGAGGTACTGCTGGAGTTCTCAATGTCTTTCTAGTTCTTGTTTCCCTTAACTTTCGATGCTGGTTGAGGTTATGAAGAACCCGGTAGTACCGTTACAACAACGTTTTTCTTTTCTACTAAAGCTAAATTAATCTGGCTTTTGTTAAGTGAAACATCAAGAAACTCAAATGAATATAGTGTAACATCCTGTGTGCAAGAAGAATTTAATAGACACAACTGCGCTACCACCCTTCCAATTCCTTTTCTTCTTTCTTTTTTTTTTTTTTTGAGACAGAGTCTTGCTCTGTCGCCCAGGCTAGAGTGCAGTGGCGAGATCTCCGCTCACTGCAAGCTCCGCCTCCCAGGTTCACGCCATTCTCTCGCCTCAGCCTCCAGAGTAGCTGGGAATACAGGCACCCACCACCACGCCCGGCTAATTTTTTGTATTTTTAGTGGAGACGGGGTTTCACCGTGTTAGCCAGGATGGTTTCAATCTCCTGACCTCGTGATCCGCCCGCCTCAGCCTCCCAAAGTGCTGGGACTACAAGCGTGAGTCACCATGCCCAGCCCAATTCCTTTGCTTAAAGAATTCAGATGAGCGTAGTGTTTATTATTTTTTCTGTCCATGTCTGTTCCAGTCATGAACTTCAAGAGTTACCTAACCCTCTCACATAAAACCACACAAACCGTTTCCTTTCCCCTAGTCCACTCTCCTGTATTGGGCTATGTTCTACACCCTCATTATGTATAAAGGGATACTCCTGTTCACAGATTTTGTATTGTCATACAAAACCTTTCTAGACACATAGATATACCTGATTCTACCCTACTCCCAAGCCAAGCCAGGTGAGATGTCCTGTCCTTTAAATCCTAACAGGTGGTAAAGGAAGGTATAACTGCTGGGGTTATATGTTCTTCCTCAGCCAATAGCTCAGCAATGTTCAATGGACCCAGGGGTCCACCCTGCAGAGAGGAATGTCAACCATGTAGCTGACTTTCTGCCAGATAATATTGACTCCATGATCTCTTTTTCTTTACTCTTGCCAAAGTGGGCTACTCCTCCTGTTAGAATGTGTGCTCATCTCCGAGTATGTTGGTTTTGAGGAGAAAAATAGGTTATAACCAACCAAGCGACTTGACAAGAGGGAGTGTGCTCTATTCACTTTTGTATCCTCAGTACCCAACACATCATACAGAATATGGTATATGCCTAGAAAATAGTTATCAAACAGAATAACTAGAAAATACAAAAGAGCCAGGGTCAGCAAAATCCCAGCATTTTGGGAGGCCAAGGCAGTAGGATCGCTTGAGCCCAGCAGTCTGAGACCAGCCTGGGCAACACAGAGAGAGTCCCATCCCTACTGTTTCGTTTTTTTGTTTTTTTGAGATGGAGTTCGCTCTTGTTGCTCAGGCCAGAGTGCAATGGTGCAATCTCGGCACATTGTAACCTCTGCCTCCCAGGTTGAAGCGATTCTCTTGTCTCAGCCTCCTGAGTAGCTGGGATTACAGGCGTCCGCCACCATGCCTGGCTAAGAGGGTTTCACCACGTTGCCCAGGCTGGTCTCAAACTCCTGACTTCAAGCGATCCACCTGCCTTAGCCTCCCAAAGTGCTGGGATTACAGGCATGAGCCACTGCACCCGGCCTCCCATCTCTAGTGTAAAAACATAAAATTAGCTAGGTGTGGTGGTATACATCTATAGTCCCAGCTACTTGGGAGGCTAAGGTGGGAGGACTGCTTGAGTCCAGGAGGTTGAGACTTCAATGAGCTATGATCATGCCACTGCACTCCAGCCAGCCTGGGTGACAGTGTGAGACCCTGACTCAAAAAAAAAAAAAAAAGAAAGAAAGAAAAAAGTACAAAAGGTATCACAAAACTGTTACTATTCTCGTTATGATTTTGCCAGGGCTATTTTTCAATCAAAAGATGACCACAACTTTGGTGTTGCTGGCTGTATGTGCTAAGTATGGCTCCCCACACTCCTCTACAGAATACACTGAACGTTTCTCACCATGTTCTCACTTTGCATGTGGACTGCACATCTTTTTGCTAAAAAAAAAAAGTTGAATACGTAATTATATTCCCCATTGCAGCAACCCAAATGAATCTACTACCGCTATTTCAGAGGTTTATGTATGATCTACTTATTCCAAAACCAATTTGAGTGGATGCTGTTACAAAGTTTTCAGTAGCTACAGTTCTTAATAGGACTTCTGCTTCACTGTATTAGTCATATGGGATTATAAGCAAGAATCATAAACTATCATATTGCTTTGATCTTCAGAACAATTGATAAAATACTTATCATTCTTGCTACCTCATTTCCTCAAAGTGTTAAGTCAACCATGATTGGGGAATGAGTTCTATCTCCTTTCTGACAGCCCCCTTGACTCTAATTATACTAAATCTGCAAGAGGCTGAAGCTATATTATTCCAGAGAAAGTGTGCCTCAGCTTCCATTGCCAAATATCCCCTTCCCAGAAAATGTACACATTTACCTTTACTCCAATTATTAATTACATAAATGCACACTGCCGGCCTGGTGCGGTGGCTCATGCCTCTAATCCCAGCACTTTGGGAGGCTGAGGTGGGCAGATCACTTGAGGTCAGGAATTCAAGACCAGCCTGGCCAACATGGTGAAACCCCACAGATCTCAAACCCCGTCTCCACTAAAAATACAAAAATTAGCTGGACTTCGTGGCATACGCCTGTAATGCCAGCTACTCAGGAGGCTGAGGCAGAAGAATCACTTTAACCTGGGAGGCGGAGGTTGCAGTGAGCCAAGATTGCGCCACTGCACTCCAGCCTGGGCGACAGAGTGAGACCCGGTCTTGTAAGTAAGTAAGTAAGTAAGTAAATAAATAAATGCTGCCTTCAAATCCACACATTTTTCTAGAAGAATCTTCATTAGAATTGAAAACTCATTTTTCCCCCCCACAGAATTAGCCTCTAAGGCCTTTTGCACTTTCTGGAGCCCCTATGCCAAAGCACTGTGACTTTCTCATTCACCTGGACTTCCACAAGTCTCTAACTTAGGCACCATACTCAGCCTTATATCTTAGTTAATTGCGGACGTGTCTCACAAGAGCTCAATTTGATTGAATTGATCTTATTGGCAAAGTAGTATTTTTCATTGATCCAAGATTCAAAGGCTTGTAGGCTAATTGATACAAAACTGTTGTGATTTTCTAAAACCCATGCCTTCGGTGGAATGTCTTGGCTTCTTATTTGTAACTGTTAAGTACCTAGAATTAGCCATGCATTTTTAGGCAGGGGTCATAAACAAACACTAGAGAAGTGATCAGAGATGTTTTTCATTTTTCTCCTAAAAAAAAATGAAAAAAAAAAAAAGAAAAGAAACTACAAGCCACTAGGCCTTTCACAGTATTTCCTAAAGGAGAACCTAAACACTGAGATGTGAATTCTACCTGAGTTGCATTAGCAGTCAGAAGAATAGACATGCCAACAAAAGAGAAAACAAGATTGCTACCTTTTTAACATCCCAACACATCAAGATTCTCGAAGTGAATGCCCACTCATCAATGCCACAATTTCTTCCATAAATCATTATTCCAGAGTTTAATAAATGGAGTTACTCACCCAACAAAGAGACACGCAATAAGTGATGAAAAGGATGACTCCCAGGACAGCGATATAATTTGACCTTACCTACTTGATGAGAATAGAAGCGACTGTAACAACAAAAACGCACTTCTGAGGCTTTGGCTGTTACCACTCATCAAAATGGAGAAGGGCACAATGTGTGTTAGTTAAAATGATCCCGGGAGATGAACTGAGATCGTTCACATTATATAGGGCATTTAAAATGAGTCAGTGAAGAGAGAAGCTTGAGAGTTCTTTTTTTAAGCCAAACATTTTAAAAGTTTGAATTGAAGGCTGAGATGGGACATATAATTATTTATCTGCATCATAAAAACCAATAAATCTTATTGCACATACAATTTCAGAATAATTGAAAATATTGGTAAATCTTTGGCTTCCGAGGAAATAGAAATTATTTCTAAGACTCACAGGAGAAACCATAGCTAACCATAATTCCTAAGGAAGGTATTAAAGCCAAAAACAATTATTTTGTGGGAATTTTCCTTGACCTTCAGCTTCTAATGTTACTTTACTCTGAATTTTTTTTCAATAGGTTCTATACAGGGGTGCTGGCATATATCAATCATATTTCTCAAACCCAAAACAGCTGTTCAGAACACCGCCGTGCAGAAAAAGTTAACGATACCATAGATACTTGTCTAAGCAGACATTTGTATATACATCAATTCTCATTCTAATATTTGACGAGTTCAGGGGGTTGTTACATGTGAAGGACTTGATGAAAAGAGGACACAAGGCCAATACAGACAATGTCACAAAAAAACAAAACAATCTACTAAGTGAAAACACATTTGTTTTTTGGTTCTTCTATGAGATGCATTTTCACAATTATTTTACTAAATGTCTGTAATATTAACAACAATTTCTACATTTGAAAGTTAATGTCAACAGATGCAAGAATTTTATTTTTAAAATTCCAGAGAGACAAAGCCTTTTCAAGAATGGGAGCCTGTCTCCTGTAATTTGGGGAGATGGGGTGGTTCCGGAACAGCAGAAACCATGGCGTGTCCACTGCGTTCATTTTAAGTCTTTTTCTTTTGAGACAATGGTGTTAAATAAATTATGATCACGTTTTCATGAGGTGCAAAGGATAGCTAGGGGAATAAATGTCAGCACCTCATCTGAATCTGATGAGGTATTTGGAACTCAACATTTCCATGCAAAAATGTCAGAACTGTATTTCAAACTGCTCTCAGACCTTCCCTCTGGGCATGTGCGCAGGTGAGGACTCCCTCAAACCACTATTTGGGATAAGCTTTTAAAGCAAAAAGAAATCCTGGTGGTAAAAACAGGCAGCCCTGCTACTCAGCGTCAAGTGTGCAGTTGCTGACATTCTAATCTTGAGAAGGGGAGAAGGGCCCAGGAAATATTATTCTGAATACTCCAAACGTGTGATGCAAATTATACCGACTCTAATCTTGAGGGGTGTGAGGTGGGAGGAGGAATAAGAAAATCAAGAGGTCTCTGAAATCCTTTGGCCACCATCCCCGAACCTTTTTCTTCTCCAGGGAATGAAATGACTCCAGCCTTAAAATACATTTTTCATCATGACAATTGTAAAGGTGAAATGATGGGAATCTTATCTTGTTAAAGGTTTACCAACTGCTTTGAATTTTTGCTCTCAATCCCAAACCAGTATTTCATTTGTCAGTTCCAGTTTCCATTTATCTTTATACAAAGTCATATTCATTAAAACTGGGTACAGCAGGAAAGCCATGTTAAAATGTCATTTTCCACAACAGATGTCTTAGGAAGCTGTAACGCACATTTATTTTTTTTTAATTTATTTATTTTTTTTTGAGATGGAGTTTCATTCTGTTGCCCAGGCTGGAGTGCAATGGCGCGATCTCGGCTCACTGCAACCTCTGCCTCCTGGGTTCAAGCAATTCTCCTGCCTTAGCCTCCCGAGTAGCTGGGATTACAGGCGTGCGCCACCATGCCTGGCTGATCTTGTATTTTTAGTAGAGATGGGGTTTCTCCACGTTGGTCAGGCTGGTCTCGAACTCCCAATCTCAGGTGATCCGCCCACCTCGGCCTCCCAAAGTGCTGGGATTACAGGCATGAGCCACTGCGCCCGGCCCTGTAACGCACATTTAAAACTATCAACTCTCAGCCCAGTATGGTGGGCTGAAACCTGTAATCCTAGCACTTTGGGAGGCCAAGGTGTGTGGATCACTTGAGGTCAGGGGTTCAAGACTGGCCTGGCCAACATGGTGAAACCCCATCTCTACTAAAAATACAAAAAAATTAGCTGGGTATGGTGGCAGGCGCCTGTAGTTCCAGCTACTTGGAATGCTGAGGGAGAGAATCACTTGAACCTGGGAGGGGGGGTGAACCGAGATCACGCCACTACACTCCAGCCTGGGTGACGGAGCCTGACTGTCTCAAAAAAAAAAAAAAAAAAAAAAAAAAAAAGGCTTGTTGGGGGGTGGCTCATGCCTATAATCCCGGCACTTTGGGAGGCTGAGGCGGGCGGATTACCTGAAGTCAGGAGTTTGAGACCAGCCTGGTCAACATGGTGAAACCCCATCTCTACTAAAAATACAAAAATCAGCTGGGCGTGGTGGCATGTGCCTGTAATCCCTGCTACTCAGGAGGCTGAGGCAGGAGAATCACTTGAACCAGGGAGTCAGAGGTTGCAGTGAGCCAAGATCACACAACTGCACTCCAGCCTGGCGACAGAGTAAGACTCTGTCTCAAAAACAAAACAAACAAACAAAAAAACTGTCAGCTCCCATCTACCACATTTCCCCACCAAGTGGCATCAGCAGCACCGAGCTCACATGCAGGGTTACTCTACAGGCCCAATCTGCTTTTCCATCTTCCAAGCTTCGTGTCAGAAATTTCATGGGACAATTCCCACTTTTATTTTCTTAGTCTATCATTTATATAAATGTTAAAAACTTTTTTTTAAAACCAAGCAAAACATAGTGTCAACCAAATGATACACCATCATTATCTGGAGAGAGGAGAGGAAGAGAGAAATATGGCCTTTTTAACTTATTAAAACTGATTATTTTAATTTTTTTTTTTTAATTCTAAGTACAGTGTCTCACTCTGTCACCTGGGCTGGAGTACAGTGGCTCCATCACAGATGCAGTACAGATCACTGCAGCCTCAAACTCGTGGCCTCAAACCATATTCCCACAACAGCCTCCCAAGTAGCTGGGACTACAGGCATGTGTCACCACGCCTGGCTAATTTTTATATTTTGTAGTGACAGGTGTCTACCTTTGTTGCCTAGACTGGTCTCAAACTCCCGCCTTTAAGCAATTCTTCAACCTTGATCTCCCAAAGTGCTGGGATTACAAGCATAAGCCACCCCACCTGACCTTATTTATTGATTTTAAAAAACAAATCCATTTTTCTAATTCCATGAATATCAGTTAACTCTATACTAACCATAACACTACAATCATTCATTCTTCTACATACAACCATATTTTGTATCATCATTCTTTCAGTTACTCGGATTATAAATGTAATATTTTGAATGTGGGCAAAAATGAATACTTTTTTTGATTATCTAAAAGCCTGAAAATAAGGTTGAAGTCACAGGCTGAAAAGAAGTATGTACATATCACTGCATAAGAGCTAATGAAACATTTCATGAATCCTATATCCCATGTTTGTCTGTTTATTTGTTTTAAGACAGAGTCTCGCACTCTCACCAGGCTGGACTGCAGTGGCACGATCTCGGCTCACTGCAACCTCCACCTCCCGGGTTCAAGCGATTCTCCTGCCTCAGCCTCCCAAGTAGCTGTGAATATAGGTGCACGCCACCACGCCTGCTAATTTTTTTTTTTTTTTTGAGATGGAGTCTTGCTATGTCACCCAGGATGGAGTGCAATGGTATGATATTGGCTCAGTGCAACCTCTGTCTCCTGGGTTCAAGTGATTCTTCTGCCTTAGCCTCCTGAGCAGCTGGGATTACAGGCATGTGCCACCAAGTCCAGCTAATTTTCGTATTTTTAGTAGAGATGAGGTTTCACCATATTGGCCAGGATGGTCTCGATCTCTTGACCTCGTGATCCGCCCGCCTTGGCCTCCCAAAGTGTTGGGATTACAGGTGTGAGATACCACACCGAATCCATGTATATTTAAAAAGAGCTAATTCATTAGAAAAAATTTTGCTAGTATGACAATATAAAACACCGTGTCTTGTATATATAATCTTTTCATAGATAAAATTCATACCTGTTTTCAAAAATAACTAAGGTAAATCAGTGTTGATGATAAAATAAGATTAATGGTACATCTAATATCCTGACACTTAATGCAAATAAAAACTTACATGTCATAATGGGAAAAGCATAAACCTTTGGAGGATCACATACCTGCTAGCAGTTACTTGTTCTAGCACCTTCGAATACTGACCTTCTCTATGCATGAAATGAAGTTAATTTCAACCCCAAAGCATTTTTTATGAGAAGTAAAAATGTTACATGTGCATATAAAATTTATGTCTCATAAAATATCAATTAACCATCTCCTGACAGAGAAGTAGTGTGTCATCCAATGTTAGCCTTTTAATTTATACATGAATATTGTTTATATAAAAAAGTATATGATGCAACAAGACAAGGCTGGCTAACTCACTATCCATCCAACCTTCCTTCTTCACTAACAGAACCCTGATTTTATCAGGGATCTACTTTTCTCTGGTTGACCAGGTAACTCACAGTAAATTTCATTCCATTTCAGGATTTGCTTAGAAAAAGGCAAAAGACACAGGTCTTGCTCACAAGTCATCAGCAATCTTCGGAGGGTTTTGAGGGTAGGTTTCCAGCTCAGGTAGCTGGAATGTGTGTGATGGAGCTGCTGTAGCCTCTGTGATTCGGAAAAGAGCTAGCGAAGAGGCAGAGAGGAAAGAGAAAGAGTTGGGTCCTTGCTAACATTACTGCATTATGCAGTTAATTCACAGTCAACCTATTTTGTGATTATGCAACATACAGATCCTTTATTGTTTAAATCTCTTTCGGATGGATTTTCTGTTACTTGCATACAAGTTGAATGAGTAGACACTTAGGATGTTCTTGTTTTGTGAAAATAGTAACCACATTTGATGATCTGTCTACAATTGCAAGCCATTAATATAATTTTAATGTATGTATGAAATACAATAATCAACACATCTCCAATGTTCATGCAACTCATTTAATTCTTATAACAACTTTACAATGTAGGTACATCTCTTATCTTCATTTTAGAGATGGGTAAACTGAGGCCCAGAAAAGCCAAGAAACTTGCCCAAGTGCACAGAACTAATTAACTTCTGGAGCCAAGATCAGGCAGATTGGCTCTCAAGCCCATACTCACTATGCTGAGCAATACTGTCTATAAAATGAATAACATTAAAATAACTTTAGACCATCAGTGATATTAATTGCTGGCCAGAAATCTAAGATCATCTAGTAGCCAAGTATACTTCATCATGAAAGCTAGTTTAATTATATTAAGACAGTTCTTCGTCTGGTCACTACAGAAGACCAGATGGTCAGATAAAAGACAAAGGAGCAAGGCTTTTTTTTTTTTTTTTTTTTTTTTTTTGAGACAGTCTCGCTCTGTCACCCAGGCTGGAGTGCGGTGGCGCAATCTCAGCTCACTGCAGCCTCTGCCTCCTGGGTTCAAGCGATTCTCTTGCCTTGGCCTCTCGAGTAGCTGGGATTACAGGCGTGAGATACCACAACCAGCTACCTTTGTATTTTTAGTAGAGACAGGGTTTCACCATGTTGGCCATACTGGTCTCGAACTCCTGACCTCAAGTGATCCGCCCGCCTCGGCCTCCCAAGTGCTGGGATTAGAGATGTGAGCCACCGTACCCAGCCGGGACACTTTTATCTTAACTCTGTAAATAACTTGCTCTTTAACAACTTTGTGTTCCTGGTTCTTAAAATCCTCGTTTTTAAGAAGTGATTTTGATGCACAGTGTGCCTCACACCATGGCTTGATAAGCTGTTTTATCTTTATGGCATTCACTTTTCAGATGTGGAAAGACAGTGGCCCCTTCCCTTAAGATCCTGTGGAAATTGACAACACTAATCAGATCACCAGGTTATTTTTGAGGGGAGGAAAGCTTCAAAAAATGTGGAATTCAAATGATGGTGATAATTGGCTTTTCATAATTTGTTCCATTTTTCAAATTCAAGGAACAAAAAGTCGTGATTCAACTGATTTTCCATTGTGTCAAAAGGAAAATACACATCTTCATTTTTCAATGATTAAATACAGTCCAGTGAACTGGCACTGATGATCCAACTCAATACATTCCATCGATCCTGGAGCCACCCCAGTGATAACACAGGAGGACGGCTGTTCTTACTACATGAGGTCTGGAGCTGAGTCAACAATGTTTTGGGATGGGAATGAGGAATAATGTCCGGCCCTGTTACCACCACAACCAACAAATGACATTTTCTATTTTGCAAGAAGTATTGAGCTATTTTGTCTTTCTCAGAGATGGACAAACAGGGGGGCTTGTGTATTCCTGAAAGGGATGTGAAAACAACAGGAAGCACCTCTGTGGGACATTTCTATACAAGTCATTCAAAGCATCTGCAAAGAGGAAAGCCTTGCAGCCTTTCACAAGCTTAATCTTACAGCAAAACACAGATTTTGACTAATTCCAAAAACAGATTAAAACCCTTGAAAATGAGATCACATTCATAACTTGGTCTTTTCTGACCTGCAAGTGCAAAGATACCCTGGGGGAAGGCCAGCTGGAGGCTGAGAGGTACAATGACTAAAATGCATGGTAAATACATTATCCCGGAAATGCAGCCTGAACAGCTGACCAAAAATGGAAAGAAGGTGGTGCAAAACAAACCAAAATAAAAATTTACCTGTGTATTATCTCCACCCTCCCGCAAAAAAGCAGGTTTTAAATATGTGAGTTTTTTCTCTTACCTAAATGCACAAGAAATGTGTTCTTTTGCTTTTACAATAGAAAATATTACACAAAAGCCCCATCATAGTCTTATAGAGTTCTATCTAGATACTGACTAAATAAATTAACCAAAGTTTTTTTTACAATTGGCACCATCCATTCCCACATCAGGCCAAATAAAGCACAAGACACTGATGTGACTGCTGTTGAAGCCAATATTGCTTAAAGATAAGAATATATCTTTAAGTGTTATTATTAACACTCTTTTTTTGAATGTACTATTTTAAAGAGTAAAAATGACAAGAATATTTCTAAAATGGTTCAGGTACTTCCAGGATTTTTTTAAGTGTATTTTAAGATAACATTTAACTTCTTTGACTATAGTCACTTCCTCTATAAAGACTTGGAAATAAAGTATTGACAAGTTAAGAAAGACTGCCACATAGGAAACAAATAACAGGAAATGCACTTTATAGCTGTTAGTATAGTGCACCACTCAAAGAAAACACAAGGTTAATGAGATCTTGTTGAGCCAACCATTCCTAAAAGGAGGATTGCTAGGTGATGTGCAATAGAGAAAATGATACTGAACAAAGTACTGATATCAACATTTATATTTGTATTATGCGATGGACTGATTCTGCATGTGTTCTAAAAATAAATGCTAATCCACTATACAATTTTTTAAAAACAATGTCAAAATAAATGTTCACTTCAAAAATAATGGTAAAGAATGGAGACTAACGAGACTATTTTACATTAAAATATTAAAATATATACATATGCATGTGTGCTTAACATACTGTGATTACCAATATTATAAACATTTAAACCGCCAAGTCATTTCTGAAATAGTTTTAAACCTTAAGAAAAGTTGAGTCCTTTGGCGGCATTTTCTTTTTACACAGGTTTGACTTAGCATCAAACAAGTAGTCTAGTCAGATTTACAACCACTCACGGGTTAAATTCATCCACAGCACTTCCTACAAATCCTTAATTAACACAAGGACAGAGAGATACAAACATCAGTTATGCACTTTGACAATTTAATCTAATTTAAATTTTTCAGTGGCTTTTAAAGTAGTAATGACATTATTCATTTAAACAATAAGATAAAAATAGGAAGATCTGAAACCAGCAGCTACAGCTGGACGTGAAGCTATCAATATTGTACCAAGAAGCTTTGCACAATAGATGTGACATGAACAATTTCAAAATTATCCTCCAGCCATCTGTCCTCAGAATCGTGAGATGTAATTGTTGTAGGCTCTAGCTAGCAAGCATGATTAGTTCACTACGAGGAACGTGTCCTTGTATCCTATATCCAACAAAAGAGAATCTAGTTTTGTCAATGGGATAATGACTGCTCATGGGCAGGTTAAGGAACAAAACCAACTGTCTTCCATTCACTAGGCAGCTTTCTTCCTGTGGGGTAATCGAATATTCTGCTCTCTCACCTCTGCCTCCCAGTGTCCATCTGCAACCACCCTGAACCACATTTGAGTCTGTTATCCACAGTTCTTAGTGAAAAGGGAATGAGTTTTAGGAACAGCCTTCCAAAAATTGCATTTTATGCTGCTGGAATATCACTGACCATAAAGGTAAATCGAAATTTACCCTGCTAAAGTTAGTACTACAAGTGTGGTTGAAGTTTGCCACCATAATGATCACAGGTTTATATTCAACAAGTCATACGGTGATGTTTCCATTATTGGCAAATGAGATATCCTTTAAGAGGACTTAATTCATTAGGATTTTAAATACTTCTGTTTTGAATCAAAATCTTGCTCGTTTTGAAAGTTTCTAGACAACAAGAAAGAAAACTGGTCTCTTTGACAATTTTACCAAAAAACCGCTACAAATTTTATTTCATGGAATTTATAGAAATAAGATATAAAAATCATAGGGGTTTAATTTTTACAAAGACTACAGAGATTATATTCATTTTCATAAGAAACAAAATTCTGAGTCTTAAGAATAATGATTTACACACTCTTGCAGCTGTGGGGTGGCAGACCATGTGGCGTGACCTCCCCTGTTCTCAGACGCAGCGATTTCCAAGCTAAAGAACAGAGATGCTGCAGTTAAAGAAGAGCTAAAGTCCTGCTCCAGAACTTGCTGGCTGTTTGACTTCAGGGCAAATTAACCTCTCTGAACTTCAATTTCCTCAATTGTAAAAAAGATGCACTCAAATGTTAATTGCTCAATTCCTACTCTTCACTTTTCTAATAATACTGAATATGAAACACTTCAACTGGTAGAGACTTAATTACATTTTCAGTATATATTATTATCTCCAAATAAAAATGTTAACAAAACCATCTAAAAATAAACACTCACTAAGGTTATTGATATTCAAATCTAAACTCATCAAATTTTCCAAAGTCCTGTTCATGCTAAGTAAAAGTATTAAAAAATATTTAATGCCAGATGAACTGTATTTTACAAATCTAAGAAATAACTTTATTTTCCTTCAGAAGCAAATCACTGTGGCACTCTCCTGAGTAAGCAGACAGCAGACAACATTAGCCAAATACAACATGAGAAAAATTGTATTGCATTAAGGTTCAAACATCAACATGTGGAAATTGTAGAGAAACGCAAAATCATTCAACAGAATAATGAGGGTTTGGGGAGGAAATGTTCATGTTACCACAGGACATTTACTATAGGATAATTTACAGTGGATATTTAATTTGGGTTTGATTTTTAAATATTTTTAAATTATGAGGGAGAAATTATTCACAAAGTAAATTTGCAATGCTTAAATATAACACTGTGTTACACGTGACTATATATATATATTTTTTTGGAGACAGAGTCTTGCTCTGTTGCCCAGGCTAGAGTGCAGTGGCATGATCTCGGCTCACTGCAAGCTCTGCCTCCCGGGTTCATGCCATTCTCCTGCCTCAGCCTCCCGAGCAGCTGGGACTACAGGTGCCCGCCATCACACCCAGCTAATTTTTTGTATTTTTAGTAGAGACGGGGTTTCACCGTGTTAGCCAGGATGATCTCCATCTCCTGATCTCGTGATCCGCCCGCCTCCGCCTGCCAAAGTGCTGGGATTACAGGCGTGAGCCACCGTGCCCGGCACCTACTAGTGACTAATTTTATTAAAAAGTGGACATAAGTCAGCATGACTAAAGGATATCAAAACTTATTTTTGAAAAAATCTAACCTCAGGAAAAAAACGCTAAAGTCATTCACAATGAAGATTAAAGAATGAAGATTAAATGACCATTAGTTATGCAAGATTTTTCTTCCTACTCAAGCAAAAAAAAAAAAAACAGATTACATTATAAATATTTCTCATTTTGTTATTAAAAGCTGTATATAAAGAATAGGTGATTCCAATGTTATCGTAAGACTTTTTTATTTCCCTCAAACAGAGACAAATATTAGGCTCAGACAAAATTTTCTCAAAATAGAAAACTTAACATAGTACATCTATCTAATCCTATAATAAGTAAAGAAGTTTTAGTTTTGAATTATAAAAGTTGCTTACTCTCCCAGTTCTGGCCAAAATACTCAAATACATATATTTCAATTTCTACCCATTGTTGGAGTTATTTTTTCAATGCGATACAGCAAACTCTGTGGTTTTCCAACTGTGCTTGGCAATGTGTGTCTTCTTACTTCTGAAGGTTGGGGTACCAAGGACTTTTCAGGAAAAATCAAGATGTATAGACTGTTTTTGTTTCCATTGAGAATTCTAATAGTTAATTATTGAGTTCCAAATTGTGAGAGGCACACTAATATATTCTTACTAGATGAAGTTAAAATTGCCACTCCCCTTTGGATATTAAAATGTTCAATTCTGGGATTCCATGAAAGATAACACAGAATAGACTTTTCAAAATTTTTTACCCTAATGCTGCAGTGAGCCAACTGAGTTGCCAAATTCAAACTGCCAAGTGGGACTTAGGAGCTGTGGCCTGGTCCCCTCCAATTTAGACTAAAGTTTCGATGCCTTGGGAATCTGGGTGCTCTTAAAAATCACGGAGAACTCCAGAGAGCTTTTGTTCATGTGGGTGAAATCCATGAATACTACATATCAGAAACCGAAAAATAAAATTTTAGAAAAACAATAGAAAAGCACATATTGTCACAAACACACTGTCAGACAGATGACACCCCAGCACATGAAGCAGCTACAAGGAAAATGCACTGTACACTCAGGAGGGAACAGGAGTTAAAAGATAAATGACAGCATTATTATGAAAATACTTGTGACCTCAGTAAATCCTAAAAGGGTCCTGAGGATCCCAGGTGTCCCTAGACCACATTCTTGTAAGTGTCAAGTGTTCTGATCATCAGGCATATAAAACTACTCTCCTGCAACAACATGTGGAAGGGGCAGAACTACACATATCAAGCACCTATGGTCCTATCTACAGAAATGTTTCGACTGGGCGTAGTAACTCATGCCTGGAATCCCAACTTTGGGAGGCTGAGGAGGGAAGGATTGCTTGAGGCCAGGAGTGCAAGGCCAGCCTGGGCAACATAGCAAGACCCTATCTCTACAAAAAATTGTAAAAATTAGCTGGGGGTAGTAGTGCACACACCTGTAGTCTTAGCTACTCAGGAGGCTGAGGCTGGAGGATTACTTGAGCCCAGGAAGTCACAACTGTGGGGAGCTATGATCACCTCACTGCACTCCAGCCTAGGTGACAGAGGAAGACCCCGTCTTAAAAACAACAAGACAAAACAAAAAAAGTATCTTAATTGATAAAATTTTGGCAAAGATTTTATATTTAGAATAAACTTCTTCTTATGCTGCTGATGATAGTAAAAGGATGATGATGATAAGAGCAGCTAACATTGACATGCATTGTTCTATGTCTGTTACATATATCACTCATTTGGGCTTTACAATCCTGTGAGGAGGATTAACCATTGCAAATCAGATACTATAAAACATAAAGTCACAAGGCTTCCTCTTCAGCATGGTGTAGCAAAACTAGCAATAATTCTAAATGTAAAAAATCTTATATATTTGGGAAATAAAGCAAACGACACACCAAAGAATTATAAACCAAAGAACAGATGGAATGGAAACTTTTGTTGAAGAATGCAATGACTGATTCAATTAAGAATGCTAATATACCTAGTAAGGTTGAACCAACAAGTCAAGTTTTGGGAACACTGAGTTGTGAAATTACTCTTTTATTTAAATGCAGGTATTAATATCTGTACCAATTTGATGTTGCACCGCTTTCACAAGGTTAGCTATCCAGATAAACAAAACCATTTGTTTTTTGAAAAAAGTTACCTAACAAGCAAAAATAATGTTGGACTCTAGATTTAGTGGGAGAATACAAATATTATTATGCTCTATCTGGTAAGAAATTATTTGCCTTTGCGTTACCCAAGCAACTAGAATTTCTACAAAAAAAGACATTTTTCAAATTGTCATAAATATGAACATTTGGAACTATGAATTACTAGATCAAGCAACTATTAACTCTAAATACCTTCTACAAATTCTTTTGTATCTTGAAAATATTACTGATGCTATAAGGAAGAAAAAGATTTGTCTCACTAACAAAACTAACCAAGACAGAAATTATTCCAAGATTGTGACTTGAAAAAAGCACAATGAGGCTGGGGAAGTGGCTCACACCTGAAATCCCAGCACTTTAGGAGGCTGACATGGGGGGATCACTTCAGCTTAGGAGTTTGAGACCAGTATGGGCAACACAGTGAGACCCTGTCTCATTAAAACCTAAAGAGGTGCAGACACGATGGCTCACACCTGTAATCCCAGCACTCTGGGAGGCCGAGGCAAGCGGATCACTCTGAGGTCAGGAGTTTAAGACCAGCCTGGCCAACATGGTAAAACCCTGTCTCTACCAAAAATACAAAAATTAGCCAGGTGTGGTGGGTGCGCCTGCAGTCCCAGCTACTCAGGAGGCTGAGAGGGAGGAGAATTGCTTGAACCTGGGAGGCAGCAGTTGCGGTAAGCCGAGATCATATCACTGCACTCCAGCCGGGGTGACAGAGCAAGACTCTGTCTCAAAAAAAAAAAAAAAAACTTAAAGAGGAAAAAGCACACTGAGCTCAGATGAACCATTAAGTAGTGACTAAGTTAATTTTTGACTGATCAGCATCAAAACTAACGGGGGTTTTGTTGCTCTTCATCTGTCATCTCTTACGCAGGCCATATGGCCTGATTTTTTTTTTCTTTCTAAAGCTATAGATAAAACATAACAACTAGCTGTGGTATTAAAAGTGATAATGCAATTGTGAAACCTAATAATGAATTTTAACATAAAATCCATTTCGGTGGCAGAATTTTTTAAATAATATCTTATTTTCTATTTGTATCCTAAAAAGGTCTCAACGTTGTCTACCTTACATATTTTCTAGGGGACACTGCATACACAGATACTCCAAATTTTGAAGATTTAAAATAGCATCTGTACTTAATATCAAGAATTTCAAGGATAAGTCAGGTGATGGCTCACATCTGTAATGCCAGCACTTTGGGAGGCCAAAGTGGGAGGATCCCTTGAGGCCAGGAGTTCAAGATCAGCCTGGGCAACATAGCGAGAGGCCCCATCTCTACAAAAAAGTTCAAAAATTAGCCAGGTGTGATGGCACATGTCTGTAGTCCCAGCTACTCAAGAGGCTGAGGTTGGAGGATCACCTGAGCCCAGGAGGTTGAGGCTGTAGTGAACCATGATCACACCACTGCACTCCAGCCTAGGCAACAGAGTAAGACCCTGTCTCTTAAAAATAGGTAAGAATTTCAAGAATGTATTACAGTCTTCGCTAAGTAAGAATACACAGAATCGAGCAGGTGCAGTGGCTCATGCCTGTAATCCTAGCACTTTGGGAGGCCAAGGTGGGTGGATTGCCTGAGCTCAGCAGTTCAAGATCAGCCTGGGCAACATGGTAAAACACCATCTCTACCAAAAGACAAAAAATAAAATTAACCAGGCCTGGCGGCAGGCACCTGTAGTACCAACTACTAAGGAGGCTGAGGCAGAAGAATTGCTTGAACCTGGGAGGCAGAGGTTGCAGTAAGCCGAGATCATGCCACTGCACTCCAGCCTGGGTGAGAGAACGAGACTCCGTCTCAAAAACAAACAAACAAACAAACAAACAAAAACACACACACACACACACACACACACACACACACACACACACACACACAGAGAATCAGCCTCCAAGTACCGAACTATACTTGCTTCATGCACACACTCTTCATACAATGCCACTGTGAAGTATTCAACCAAGAGTTTGTCAAGAGGAGCTCTGCCACCCAGTGGGAGGTGTTTTGACATTGTGAAGGCATTTGTTTCCAGTTTAGTCATGCTTGAGCATTTATATATTGGATTGATATTTTTATTATAAGTTATGCCCTTTGTATTTATCTTTTGAGAGCAAATTAGCCTATAATACAATACATCCTATAATGTTAATATTATAAATTAATATAGTATATTCTATAAGAATTCAGGTACTTTCTTTTTTCTATTTACTTATTATTCATTTATTTGTATTTTCAGTTAGGTTATATTTTCTAAGAATTTTATTGTAGGATACCAAAAGATTTACAAAATATTGATTATAAAAAGGGGACACTGGACTTATGGGTTAAAAA